>NC_000001.11:243608364-243759879 GCF_000001405.40 Homo sapiens
TAGACTAAGAAGAAGATGCTATTGTTAATTAAAAATCAGTGAACAATAAGCATAAATTGAGTAAAAATTGGGCTAGTTATTTCAGCGAGGCCACTAAAGGAGCTCATCTTAGGGCAAAAACTTGATATAAAAAGATTTGAGTGTGCTGCCATTTTGGTATTATGAACTTACCAGAGCTTGCTTACAAAAGGCCAGTATTCTCACGCTCAAGTCCTTAGATGCCATACAGATCCTACCCCACTGGCTGAGTCTTGGTATATGTGTGGATTGTGCTAGTGTGAATTGTTTACGTGTGTTTATTGTTTCCCTTACTTTAAACCTATTTCAAAAATATAACTACTATGTTTAATACTTTTTCTACAGTAATTAAGTTTTTTGCTTTTTTTTTTTTTTTTTTTTTTTTTTTGAGACGGAGTCTTGCTCTGTCACCCAGGCTGGAGTTCAGTGGCGTGATCTTGGCTCACTGCACCCTCCGCCTCCTGGGTTCAAGCAATTCTCCTGCCTTAGCCTCCCAAGGAGCTGGGATTACAAGCATCCACCACCATGCCCGGCTAATTTTTTGTATTTTTAGTAGAGATGGGGTTTCATCACGTTGGCCAGGCTGGTCTCGAACTCCTGACCTCGTGATCTGCCCGCCTCAGCCTCCCAAAGTGCTGGGATTACAGGTGTGAGCCACGACGCCTGGTCGTTTTCTGCATTTTTATAAGGCATCCCTGGGCAGCATAAATGGCAAGGTGAACCCAAAGCAAAACCAAAATTAAACAAGTTGCCACAAGGATAAACACATCAAGCATAGATTTCCTCCCCAGTCATGATAAATCAAGAATTGAAATAATCCTACTATACTCCAAGAACTAAATAACTATTTTAAAATACATCTGATAATCTAAAAAAAAAAAAATTGTGAGGTTAAATATATAAAATTCTATTTCCTACTAAAGTTATTAAATATAAATAACTTTTCATTTTCTGTGTGTGTGTGTGTGTGTGTGTGTGTGTGTGTACCAACACTGTAATTACCTACGCATGTTAAAATTATACACCACATACAGGGAGGCCGAGGTGGGCAGATCACTTGAGGTCAGGAGTTCAAGACTAGCCTGGCCAACATGGCCAAACCCCGTTTCTACTAAAAATACAAAAATTAGCCAAGTGTGGTGGTGCACACCTATAATCCTAGCTACTCGGGAGACTGAGGCATGAGGACTGCTTGAGCCCAGGAGGCAGAAGTTGCAGTGAGCCGAGATTGTACCACTGTACTCCAGACAGGGTGATGGAGTGAGACCCTAGAGAATCAGTTCACTTGCTTCAAAATATTAAATAATACTTATCTATAGCCCAATCCAAAACAGAAATTCTGAAGAAAAACAAAGATATGCTGAACAAGAAAAATAATGTAGGAGTATTAATGCTAAAGAAAATCATCTGGCTAATCTGAAAATCTGCTTTTAGTGTAAAATTTTTTTCAATAATCATCAATTAATTAATCTTTAAGTACTCCGGGTTTAGAAAAGAAGTGCAGATGCCAGGTAGCGCCCTCTAGGAAGCTTTCCCTCATCCCACCAAAGTCCCACCATCTATCTATCTGTTATGATAGAAGTGATAATTATTTCACACTTAGTATTATTTTTGTACCCTTTCTCCAGTAGACTATAAACTCTTTGAGGGCAAGATCTATGTTTAATTCAGATTTCTATGCCCTAGATATCTACCAGAGTGCCTTCCACAAAGACTTAATACATATGTATTTTTGAAATAAAAAGATATCCTCTCCTAAATTTACACTTTCAGCTTTTTTAACAAAATAAACTGTATACTACATCAATTTCTATTTTTCTTCCTACTCCTCAGTAGTTCCTATTTTACCCCTTTTAGCTAACTTCTCTTATCCCTAATCCCTGAGGGAATGTTCATCCATTTGTTCACTTATTCATTCAAATAATCCAATGAATATTTGTGAAGCACCAACTATGTACAAGCAGTGAATAAGATGCTAGGGTTATACCGTGAACAAGCCTCTTAGAAAGCTAACACTTTGATGGGAAAGACAGACAAGTAAATAGGTAATTGTAAAACAATGTGAAAATTGTTACTATAGACATGAACACACAATACCGTTTAAAAAAGAGAGACATTTAATAGTGTTTTTCCAAGTTTTTGTCTGCGGACTGTTTTATCTGTCTTACTGTTTCCCTTGGTCATCCATTCATCCAACCATTTATTTGTCTGTCTACTTTCAACTATTAGATAATACATGTATGTGGCACAAAACACAAAAGATACTGAAAAATACATAAATGAAAAGTCTTCCTCCTATCTTATCCCTGGCCACTCAGTTTATTTTCCCAAAGACAAGCACTAATACCCAGTGCATAATTTCAGAGATACTCGATCAATAGACAAACATATATACACATGTTTACGGTCTAATTTTATTTTAACACAACAGAAGTATGCTTTATACTCGTCTGCACCTAGTTTTTTTAACTTCTATTAATGCCCATATTGGGCTGTCTCATTCTTTCAGATGGATATAGAGATTCCACTGCATGAATGTAACTTTATTTAAGCAGACTCCTTACGAATGCTCATTTAAAATGCTACAATGCTGCAATGAGTATACTTATCTATATATCATTCTGTGGTGCATCTGTACGTCTGTAGGATAAATTCTTAGAAATGAAATTGCTGAGTCCAAGTATAAGCGCATTTTAAATTTTGATAGATACTGATGTAAGAGGTTTCATCAATTTCATTTCCACCCCCATAACTTAAATTATAATCTTTATGGGAATGGCTGCCAAAACTGCATCCACAGTTTTGACTCTTTATCCACTCTCCATCATAGTTCCACACATACATTACTTTAAAAGCTTACGAAAAACTGTTTCAAAACCAAATTTATAAGGTTAACATGTTCTTCATAATTGCACTGTATCTGCTAAGGCTCCCAAATTCCAACCAAAAATCACTTTTCATTGTACCTTTTTGTTTCTACCAAGATCTAATTAATTGGTCATTAAGATGTAACAATATGGCCAGGTGTGATGGCTCACGTCTGTAATCCCAGCCCTGTGAAAGGCTGACGTGGGTGCATCACTTGAGGCCAACAGTTCAAGACCAGCCTAGGCAACATGGCAAAACCCTATCTCTACAAAAAAATACAGAAATTAGCCAGGCATGGTGATGCATGCCTGTAGTCCCAGTTACACAGGAGGCTGTGATGGGAGGATAGCTTAAGCTTAGGAGGTGGAAGTTGCAGTGAGCAGAGATGGCACCACTACAATCCAGCCTGAATGACAGAGCCAGACCCCATCTCAAAAAAAAAAAGATGTACCAATCCTACAGTTCCACAACATCCATTTTCTTCGTATTTTCTCAGACATCTTACTGCAAGGGCCCAGTTCTGTATTCCTGGGTTATTATTATTTAATTATCTTGTCCTATCATCCACCAGTGATTCTGCCCATCCCATCCTCTCTGCCTGAAACAACTTCTTACATCAATTCCCTGGGTGAAATCTCATTAAGCCTACTCTAAGTGCTAGATCATCCATAAAGCATTTTCTTTTATGACTTTATTAGAAGTTAGGTCTTTCACTATGCATTCTAATTTGTAATACACTAAGGGAAGTTATATACTCCTTCACAGCAAGGATAATATCTTAACACATTTTCATAAACCCATACTGCCTAGGCACTCAAAATGTGTTTACCAAATTAATGAATTAAGTTTTGGGTTTTGATTTTTTTTTTTTTATTTGAGACCAGGTAATGCTCTGTCACCCAGGCTGAAGTGCAGTGGCATGACCATGGCTCACTGCAGCCTTGACCTCCCAGGCTCAAGTGATCCTCCCGCCTCAGCTCCTCAGTAGCTGGGAGTACAGGAGCTGGGTGTGTGCCACCATGTCCAGGTAATTTTTTTATTTTTTGTAGAGACAAGCTTCCACTATGTTGCCCAGGCCGGTCTCAAACTCCTGAGCTCAAGTGATCCACCCGCCTCAGCCTCCCCAACTGCTGGGATTACAAGTCTGAGCCACCATGCAAGCCCTGAATGAATGAAGTTTTGCAACAAACGAATTCCTGCAAATCAGATAATTCTACAGGAAAAAAATTCCATAAAGGATATTTAATTATTTATTTTGGAAAATAAGAATATTTTAAGTTCATGAGACACAAACAAGACCCTATTTAATAATTAAATTTATTTCAGAAAGCCCACAATAAAAATATTTCCAGTTAGCTTTTCCAGTAAATTTACTTTTCCCTCACATTGACTGTGATCAAAACCAAGGAAGAGAAAGGAGAAGGAATAAAGGAATGAGTGAAATGTGCTAATAAAAATATTAAATTTATCTCCAAAATATTGTCAGTCTCTTAAATATAGTCATGGTAGGCCCGGCGTGGTGGCTCACGCCTGTAATCCCAGCACTTTGGGAGGCTGAGGCAGATGGATCACAAGGTCAGGAGATCGAGACCATCCTGGCCAACATGGTGAAACCCCATCTCTACTAAAAATACAAAAATTAGCTGGGTGTGGCGGTGCGCGCCTGTAGTCTCAACTACTCGGGGGGCTGAGGCAGGAGAATCGCTTGAACCCGGGAGGCAGAGGTGGTAGTAAGCTTAGATTGTGCTGCTGCACTCCAGCCTGACGACAGAGCGAAACTCCATCTCAAAAAAAAAAAAAAAAAAATTATATATATATATATATATACACACACACACACACACACACACATATATACCCACCCATATATATACATATACATATATACATACATATATATACACATATACACATATATATACACCCTCATATATACATACACACACACACATATATATATATATAGTCATAGTACTCTACTATAAAGAAGAGAAAACTCAGCCATAATGTGCCCATGGACTATTGTTCCACTGAGTTTAGAATGGGTAAAATAACTTTTGACCATGTTCACAGCCTACTTGAAAAGAAACTTTGTGAAACAATAAATCTTGTATTTCTGGTTTTCAAAATTTAATAACATGATTTCAAAAATCATACTTCTGTTAAAACTTTTTACATTTAAAAACACAGGAAAAAGAAGAATATGATTATGCTTTCCAACATATAAATGTAGTTATATAAAAACAATCATTACATCTCATCAGAAATAATTTCGCTCCCATTTGTTCAATAGTATTAAGAGCTACATAAATTCCTATCAAGAAATGGAGAACTGCTATATTGTAACTTGTATTTTAAGTAATGTTTTTAAAATAATGAAAATACTACCATGCAAATACTGGATTTACTTCTTGACTCACCTCGCCCCCATTAACATATTCCATCACAAAACACAAACGGTCTTTTGTCTGGAAGGAATATTTCAAGGACTTGAAATAAAAAAAAGAAAAAATGTTACATTATAATCCTGTATTCTTATAATTATAATAGTACTAAAAATAGAACACATAGAAATAGTAAGCATGAAAGATGAAAAGAATTGTTATTGTTTAAGAGTTTATTTACTACTTAAAAGTGCTTAAGAGTTTATGAGAAACATAAAACAAATGTTTAGTTCACAATAGGTATTATTACAAGAAAAACTAAAATTAAAATTTCAAGTAAAAGTAAACTTAATTGCAACAAGCACTTCTCAATCTAATTTGCCATTGATTTGAAGCTGCATTAGTACTCAAGGTTCTCATCCATGCAACCTCACAGCGTGGCCAACAAATTACACTAGTTGAAGTTCCTTAGGAATGTAGCTACGGTTGTTACACTCAGGTTTCTAATACAATGACAACATCACTTTTTGCATATTGAGTGCACAACAGAACCCAACCTAACAGAGTTGGTTTATATAATTTTGTAGGTTATATATAGGTTATTAAAAAATACCCAAATGCTATCTTATTACACTAGACAATAAACACACCAAAAAAGGTAGCAAAGTAAGTCTAGGTATCTACTGACAGCTCTGAAAATGTCTATTTCAGATATTCCAAACAGTGTAAAGGGTTCCACTTTGGAAAGTCTAGCTATTATTTTTCATCTCAATATAGTTCATTGGAACCAAGAAAATACAGAAACTTTACCAATTATCCCTATATTACAAGGAATCTAAGAACAGAACTAAAAAATCCAGTTTCTTTCAAGACAACTAAGTTGTAGGCATACCATATAATCAGTTTATACTTTGTCTAGTGAAAAAAACGTAGCATGGCTTATCCCACCTCTAATGTATTTAGCATTCCCATATTTCTTAAAGTACTCTATCCCTCAAAGAAGTCTCATTTCTATAAAATATATTCGATAAACATTTCTGCCTTCCATATTTGAAGAAATGCTTCTGATCATTAAGATATTTATCAGAAGCCAATAAAACAAACATAAAATCTTTACATTTAAGAAATTTTTAAAAATCAGCCATTTCCTCAATAGTCTCCTTAAAATGCCAGAGGTAATGTATTAACTCTATGGTTTGTTTTTGTTTTTAATGGCAAGAGATTCATGGGAGAAAAAAAATTCTCAAAAAAGTAATAAATGCATAATGGGAGGAATTATCAATGCATACACACTGTAAAAATCCATACATTCTAATAAGTTATAAGAAATTTGACTTACGTTCTTTCCACAAAGAAAATGAGATATCTAAATGAATAGTATTTTTCACAATTTAATTTCTAACATAAAATTCCTTAAATTTCAAATGTTACGATTATAACATCTGTCCTCTAGTCACTTACTGTTAAAAAGGGATGTCTAGTGTTCTTTAATACTCTGCTTTCAGTTAGAGTGTGTGCCACTTCATCCTACAAAAGAAAAAAAGCAAACCTTCAATATATGTTTTGAGCACTGATAATAATAATTTCACTATTTCTCTAAAATTGGAAGAGGTTAAGCCCAGAGATTGAAAAGGATTTTAAAACACAGTGGCATGCTTCCTTTACCACTCAGCATTCTCTCCACCAAAATACAAAAAAACTCAAATTAATGATTTAATTCAGATGATTGTATAAGTTCATATAAATTCACTCATACTTAATCAAAGTATATCAATAATGATACAAAAATCAGTCAGAAAATTATCAGGGACACAGAAAATTAAATATTGAGCTTTCCTCCTTGAAGGGAACAATTTATCAACTAATATTTCTGCATGAGGTAATTTAATATCTCCATGTTTGTAATACATTTTATTCAGGGGGATGAAAGGATATATTTCCCAATAAATATCAAAGAATTTAAAAGTCTCCTACTTTAAATAAATTAGTTATTAGAACACAGAATACACATGCAATATTTAGTTCTAAATTACACATTTTAGAAATAGAAAGGAACAGAGTATAAAAATATATACCTTTCTGCTTGTGGCTTTTTAATTTGCGTCTTAATTTTTAAAGCCAAGTTCTTGCTCTGTTGCCCAGGATAGAGTACAGTGGTACAATCACAGCTCACTGTAACCTTGAACTCCTGGACTCAAGCATTACTCCTGCCTCAGCCTCCTGAGTAGCTGGGATTACAGATGTGAGGCACCATGCCCAGCCTTATATGCTTCCTTATTTATTTTTTTAGAGATAGGGTCTTGCTATGTTGCCCAGGCTGAGCTCAAACTCCTGAGGATCAAGGAATCCTCCCGCTTCAGACTCCCAAGTAGCAGAGACTACAGGTTGTTTTTTTTCCTTTGGTTGGGGGCGTGGGTGTTACACATTTTTTTTTATTTCAATAGGTTTTTGGGGAGCAGGTGGTGTTACATGAATAAGTTCTTTAGTGGTGATTTCTGAGATTTTGGTGCACCCATCACCTGAGAAGCATATGCTGTACCCAATGTGTAGTCTTTTATGCCTCACCCTGCTTCCATCCTTTCCCCCAACTCCCCAAAGTCCACTGTATCCTTCTTTTGCTTTTTTGTCCTCATAGCTTAGCTCCAGAGACTACAGGTTTAATGTGCTTTTCTTAAAAAAAAAAAAAAAAAAAAAAAAAGCTCACAACCCTCCTACTGTAGGTGATCATTTTAAAATGTAAGTATATTTCAAACCAAAAATAAACTAAGAATGTTTTCCCCAACTTTGGGCATAAATCTCATATTGATATCAAAAGCAAACTAGTGTTTTCTTCAACATATGGAGAACTGGAGATAATGTTTCATATTTCAAAAGTAACACTATCTTAAAGAAGAAACGAAAGGAAGACAACTGCTGAAACGAACACAGCATCTCTGTTCTTCACTTCTGGCAAGATCTTAAATAAAGCCCTTGCTGAATCAATTTCTTAACACTGTCAGAAAATCAAAATTAGATGGAAGAAAGACATGAAAAGCAAAACATCAGGACACTGCATTATATTTGTTATCTTTATAAAAATATTTGACCTTAAACTCGAAAGATAATGATAACTAGATTAATCAAAGAAGCTAAGATCCCACAACCATTCAAAGAAGGTAAGATCAATTGTGTCTGAACAGAAAGTATAATTAACAACGAGTGAAGGAAAGCATAAACATGAAATCATCTCAGTCTTATTTGTTTTATAGGAGTCAGTTTTAAGTGCTCAATTTGAAAGCCAATGTCATATCGTACTATAGTTCCTAAGTTAATTAGAATAGCAAACATTGTAAAACAAAATAAATCAGAAGCAGAAATGACACCAGAACTTACTGATTTCCATATACACTGTGCCTAACATAATGGTAAGCATACAGCAGATACCTAATAAATGTCTATTGAACTGAATTGTGTATCATAGGAAAGAATTCCAAGATGTCAAGTGTGCAAGAGTTCATTCATCCATCCACCCACCCACCCACCCACCGACTTCTTCAACACATATGCAACAAGTATCTTCTGGGTATTCGTCTGCACATCAGAGACAGGACACTGAACAAATAGACAAAATTCTCTGCTCTCATGGAGCTTTAGTTCTACTTACATGGTGATCAGTGTTAATGGGAAAAACCAGAGAAGGGGATACTACAGTTAATGAGCATCACAGAGGGAATATGAAATACATAATTAAGCATTATACAAGTGGCTATTTTGTGATATACTGAACCAAGTCCATTCACTTAAAAAAAAAACTGCTGATGTGCACTCACTAATTGGTAAGAACAGTGCTGGTATAAGGTAACTTAATAAAAAAAATAAGATCCCATTGCTCACAGAGTTCATAGGCTAGTGGAAAACACAAACAAGTAAATTATCCAACTTAAATAATTACTCTTTCTGATAAGTGATATTAAGGAAAAAGTGGAGGTTATCCACTATTGTCAACGGGGCTGTAAGGGAGAACCAATGCTATTGGTAGAGTGTAAGTTGGGTATTGTGATGGTGTGGGACATAGAGAAAGTGATGGGGTGGGGGTGACATGTTTGTGAAAGTCTACTCACGTTCTTCTAAGAAGGATCAATTAGGAAAGCATTACATAACCCCAAGAGAGAAGTGAGGATGGCTTGGACTACTATGGTGGCAGCGGAAAAAGAAAAAGGGGATAGTTCTGAGATATAAAGTTAACAGTGCTAATATAAAAGTTACATGCCTCCAACATGAGAGTGAATCACAGACATTTTAATAGGCAGTTCAGAAAGAAATTCACAGAAGATAACATCTACCTGTTGTGGTTTAAGATGTTAAGTGATCTGGGTCAAGAAATTAGGAAAAGACTAGAGAAAAGTATGTATGAAATTTATTTAGAAATAGAAAAGATATTCTAGTGCTTTGAATATTTTCAGTGGGGTATTACATTCTATTTTGTTAAAACAGGCTTATCACGCATAATAGTTATTTTTCTAAATCACTTAGTAACTTTCATGAGGGAAGACTTTTCTACCCCCTAAATTTGTAATCTGACCACATCCAAGGAACCAAGTAAAGACGTATGGAGGCAAAAGCAAAAACAGTATTTGTTATGAGAATGGAACTGGAATGAACACCATGTACATACCAAAATGTATTTTCTAACATATTTTACAGCTGATCAGATTAGAATTTCTTCCCATTAATGCATATTTAATGGTACTGTATTTCACATACTAATTAGTTTCTGCTATGAAGATAAGGTATGCGCAAGCTAAAAAGTAAACACAGATGCTAATAATTTTTAATTACAGTTAAAAGCAACATGTCAAAACAAAAAGTTAAAAATAACAGTAGTAAAACAGTGACTAAAACAATGTGATGCCTTTTAAAAAATCCATCTGTTGATCATAATTATGAAGAGTTCTAGAAATGCTTGGGGATACAATGTATTTTTTTCATGGAAAAGCTTTTGAAATACAAATTTACATATATTTATCCATGGTAAAATAGTAAATAATGAACTTTTAAATCTAATTTCTTTCATAGAAGAATTAGGGGGAATGGGATTTTATTTCTTCAGGCAGAAGAATAGTCTTTTTAATATTTTATTTTCCCAATCCTCTCCAATTTATCATTCACCCTCTATTACACACGATCTAAAGTTCTCCTTTCATTTGACCCTCTCGATGTTTTGTGGTAATTAGGTTATTTGAGGGAATGAGGTGTAGGAGAGGGCAAACAAGAGGAGAAAAAGAAAATTTCTACCCTTAATGATCAAGAACACCATGAGTGTCATCTCCTTTAATCCCTGCACCAACTGATCCCACATCTAAGTTCAATAGTAAAGGTCATTTCTACTTCACAAAACTGCCTCCCATCTTCAAACAACCTACTATCTACTTCACTAGGTACTCTGCTCACATTATTTTCTCCAAATTGACCACAAGTCTAGTTGAAATCAAGACACATTCCGTCTAAACCATTTCCTCCATCCACCCAGAGCTATAAATGAGACCTAGAGGAAGACACGAATCAGGTGGGAGAAACGGGAAGAGGGTAGAGAAATGTTACTTTGGCACATGTTTTTTCGATACATAATAGTTGTATACATTTTCGGGGTACATGTGTTGTTTTGACACATTCCATATGTGTAATGACCAAATTAGGGTAATGGGGATATTCATCACCTCCAACCTTTAACTTTTCTTTATGCTGGAGACATTCAAATTCTTCTCTTCCAGCTATTTTAAAATACACAGTAGGTGGTTGTTAACTATAGTCGCCCTACTGAACTATCTAACACTAGGTCTTATTACAACTGTACTTCTGTACCTATTAATCAACTCCATCTCCCCATCCCCCTACCATTCCCAGCCTCTAGGAACAACCAATCTACTGTCTATCTTGATGCAATCCCGTTTTTTAGCTCCCACATAAGAACAAAAATGTGCAATATTTGTCTTTCTGTGCCTGGCTTATTTCACTTAACATAATGGGTTCCATTTCCATCAATGTTGCTGCAGATAACGTGATTTCATTCTTTTTATGGCTAAGTAATATTCCACTCTGTACATATATCGCATTTATCCTTTCATTCATTGATGGGCACTTAGGTTGATTACATATTTTGGCTGTTGTGAATAGTGCTGCAATAAACCTAAGGGTGTAGATGTCTCCCCGATATGATGATTTCCTTTGTTTTGGATATATATATGGTAGTTCTATTTTTAGTTTTTGAGGAACTTTCATATGGTTTTCTATAGTGGTTATACTGATTTACATTCCCACCAACAGCATAGGAGAGTTCCCTTTAGCATCTGTGATTTTTTTGTTTTTTTGATAAAAGTCATTGTAACTGGGGTGAGATGATGATATGGTTAGGTATCCACCCAAGTCTCATCTTGAATTGTAATCCCCATAATCCCTACATGTCGAGGGAGAGACCTGCTGGGAGGTGACTGGGATCAGGGGGCAGTGTCCCCCACGCTGTTCTTGTGATAGTGAGTGAATTCTTAGGAGCTCTGATGGTTTTATAAGTGTCTGACAGTTCCTCTTCACACACTCGCCCTTTCTTCGCCTGATACCACACAAGACATGCCTCTTCCCCCTTCCATCATGACTGTAAGTTTCCTGAAGCCTCCCCAGCCATGCAGAACTGTGAGTCAATTAAACCTCTTTTCTTTATAAATTACCCAATCTTGGGCAGTTCTTTATACCAGTGTGAGAATGAACTAATACAGATGATATCACATTGTGGTTTTGATTTGCATTTCCCTGATGAGTAGTGATATGACACACTTTTACAAATTAAACAATGATTACCAGTGATTATTATTTACTTTTCCACTGTCTCAACAAGCCATATGTTAGCAATGTATACTTTTTTTTTTCCTGCCAGAGGAGACATGTCACACTTATCAAGCTCTAAATTTTGGGTTCTAACTTTTGTTTCTTGAAAACTTGAGCACTGGCCCAGATAATGACTTCTAATACTTCTTCCATTCTCCAGCTGTCAGACTGTCTTCTGTTCCTTGATTTCTATTCCTTTTTTTGAAGATTTCTCACCTTGATGGAGATGAAAGCACCGTTGTTCTCTGTTAACTACAAACATTATTGCGCCTTTCTCGAGTATTGTGTTTGATACTTTGTTCTTGATGCTCCAGTTCCAAATATTCCTTAGATGAAGGCCAAATGAACTCCTTTGACTTCCATCATGATATAATCACTTTGGACTCCAGTCTTTCTTCTGCCTCTCTCATACGCGGTATTGGGACAAGTTCATCTCTACCCTCTTAACTCTATATTTCACATCTAAAGATAAATTTACACAAACATATTGACTAACACCATTGGAATCTCCCTAAAAACTCAGCTGAATCTTCTGAGGCCTCTTTCATCCATCGCTACTTAGGTCACTCTTCAATTTCTCAGGATGGTTGTTTCAAATCTTTCCCAGGCCTTCTTCCTTGCCTGGTAGGTATACTTAAATGTACACACTAACCCTTACCTAGTCAAGCTACTAAGCTAAGACTAGAACCCAGGTCTGTGCTGACTTCCAAGCACAGGAGCTTTTCATTTATTTGTCTCTCTTTATCTCAGCCTCACTCGTTCACACTTTCAAAATGCGATCTTACTTCCTACTCAGAAGAGAAGCCATAAACGTAACATTTAACACATTTGATCACTCCTTCCTCCTGAAAACGTGTTCTTCTTTTGGGTCCCAGGACATCCTAATCTCTTCATCTTCCTCCTCTTCAGTGGTTGTCTTTCCGCAGTCTCATTTGCTGCTTCCTTTGCTCTGAAACCCTTATTCTGTAAGCATCTCCAGGACTCAGTCCTCAGAATTCTCTTCACTGGGTACACTCTTCCTTTGGTAAACTCATTCAGACTATGGCTCTAATACAGGATATATGCTGACAGACTTCCAAATTTATACCTCAAATCTAGACTTCTTTCCTAAACTTAAAAAATGCCTATTTGGCATGGATGTATAATCAGTGACATAAACTGGAGTATCTAACAAAAATAGCAAATTTGACATATCTAAAACCTAATTCCAAATCTCCCCTTGAAAAGTTTCTCCTGCAGTCAACTTCAATGTAGTGAATGGCAATACCATGCTTTCAGTTGCTTAGACCAAACATCTTAACAATGATCTCCAACTCCTTTTTTTTCCCACTCATACTCTACATTCAATCTGTCAAGCAATCCTGTTGGTTCTTCATCAAAATACACCCAAGGTCTCATTATCATCACTACCTCCATTGCTACTACCCTAGTACAAGCCACTATCATCAATTATCTAGATTACTGCTGCAATTAGCAAACTATCTGCTTCCAATCCACAGTCTATTGTCAACACTGCAGCCAAAGTGATACTGAAAACTAGACTGTGTAACTACACGGCATAAAAATTTCCAAAGGCTTCCCACTTCATTCACAGTAAAAGCCAATATCCTTACAAACATCCTACACCATTCTTGTTCCACACCATGCTAGACTCCTAGCTATTCAAAGAATGTGTTAGAATGTGCTAAGTAAGCTCCCTCCTCAGGGCCTTCTCAATTGCTATTTCCCCTTGCTGGAACATTCTTCCTTCAAAATATCTAAAGGACTTGCTTCCTGATCTCCTTCAAATGCTTGCTGAAATTTCACCTTTCAGTGAGGCCTTCCATAGTCATGCTATTTAAAACTGCATTAAGTCCCCAAAATCGCTACCATCATTATTCCTTATTTCCCTACTCCACTTTTCTCTGTAAGTATGGATTAGTTTATTACATACTCTATGGTTTATTTATTATGTGTATTATTTATTCTCTAATTGCTGACTTGAATAAAATTTCCCAAAGGAGAGGAGTTTGTCAGTTTTATTCGTTCAAATGGTCCCAGTGCCTAGAGCAGTACCTAGCAAATAATTAGGTGTTCGACATATATTTATTGAAATAATGAGTGAATGAACTAGTAAATAACGAATAACCTTGGTGCATGCTGCTGAAGAATAGAAGCTACACGAACTACATGAAATAACTCTAGAACATAAATCACTGAAATCATACTCCCAATAGAACAATGACAGTTGATGAAGGTATAGCAGATCAAACCATTATCTGCTTCCTACAATAAACCACAATCGTTGATGCAATGTTTAATACAGAGGTTCAAAAGAATATGAAAGAAGAGAACAAAGTAACTGGCTGATCACGTTAAGAGATTTCAGTTAAGATCCACCAGTAAGAACTTAAGAGTCCAAGGAAAAAGAGATGCCAGTAATCAAGCAAACGCATTGGGTTATTTTAATGGACTTACGTGCAGAAAAAGGGTAACACATCAGGCCTGGGTTGCCCAAACTCTACACATTCCCAAAAAAGTCAGTCTTCAGAACTGGCGCCGTTGGCCAACTCCTGGGAAATGAATTCTGAGCCTCTGAAATATTCTGCCTGGTCAGAGTATTTTTGTATGCTGGAGATCTTGGGCCACATGGTACCAGTTTGACTAGATAGTTTATGCAAACAACAGGATGCATGATTAATACTTCGTGCCTGATTTTGCTCTGAGAGGTTGGAATCTGAGCATCTCAGGGCAGTCATGAAGGTACTGCTTGCCTATGTGACTGACTTCCAATAAAAACCCTGGACACCAAGGCTCAGGTAAGCTTCTTTAGTTGACAACACTTCACTACTGGGAGAATTAAAATTAACCATCACAGATGCACTTATGTGTCAACTTGACTGGATTAAGGAATACCTAGAGAACTGGTAAAGCATTACTAATAGCTGTTTCTGTGTTTCCAGAGGAGACTGGAATGTGAATTGATGGACTGAGTGAGAAATATTCACCCACAATGTGAGCAGACACCATCCAATCAACTAAGAGCCCAAATAGGACCCAAAAAAGCAAAGAAAAGGCACTCTCCTGGAATGGGGACACTCCTCTTCTCCTGTCCTTGGACATCAGAACTCTAGGCTCTCTGACATTTGGACTCCAGGCTTTATACCAGCAACTCCCTAGTTTCCCACCAAAACCCAGGTTCCTGGCCCTTAGCCTCAGACTAAGAATTACACCATCAGCTTCCCAGGGAACTTGGACGGAGATACGTTACCAGCATCCCAAGGTCTCCAGCTTCCAGATGGCCTGTCTTGGGAATTTTCAACCTCCATAATCACATGAGCCAATTTCCCAGTGAATTCTCTCTCATATATGTATATGTATCCGATTGTGTCTGTCTCTCTGGAGATCCTTGATTTCACCACATCATCCATGTGACTCCACTGGAAGAAGATACCTTAAAGCTTGCACTTGGTTTCTCCAGGATTTTGCTCTATGTGGTTTTCCCTTTGCTGATTTTAATCTGTACTTTTCACTATCATAAACAATAACCATGAGTCTTTTCTGAGTCTTGTGAGTCATGACTCACTGAGCCTGAGAGTGGTCTTAGGGACAGCTGACACAGTTGCCATCATAAGTAGGACTCATTAAAGCATGGCAAAAACATTGTTTCAAAAAAGGAAGAATGACAGGGCAGACAATGACAAACTCTGATGCCTAAATGGGTATACAGTCACCAATGGCATGAGACGGCAGCTGTACTGTGCTGTTACTACATATAGAAGTTGTCAATGGAATTTAGAAATGACAGACCAAAATCTCAAGGACTTAGATCACTGGATACATAAAGAAATGCAAAATGATGAGAAACAAGCTAAATACACAATCCACTGGTAACGTGTACTTTTTTCCCCACATGTAAGATTTTTATTCCAATTTGATTTGCATTTCAAAGGAAATTATAAAATGTATCCACTTTTTTTAAGACAAAAATTTAATTATAAAACATGATAAACTTCCAGGTTAAAATTAGGCTAACTGCTTGGAATAACAAACTCTTAAATCACCATTTTCCACCTCCACACCAAGAATAACCATTTAATCAACCATACTGTAACAGCAGGATAGCACTGAGACTTGAGTAAAGAGGAAAACTAAAGAGCTCTTCCAGCTCCAAATCATGAACATTTTTATGCCTTCTTATAGTGGTGAACGGCAACCACATCATCACCAAAAGTAAGTCATAACCATTTCACCATACTTAATTTCTCTTATAAAATATGTTTCTTTGTCATCCCATTTCTGTATGTGAATGAGTTTGTCTCTGTCCAGACTAACAACAAACTTGCAGTTTCTGTCATCTGTAGTGGTTTCATCAAACTCTTCTCCCAGATGGAAACTAACCTCTGTGTTCTTGAACATACTTTGAATCCTGATCACCACCTTTTGTCTTCTTCTTGACTGATAATCACTCTTGGTTTGTCCACATTTCCCACCTGCCTAGTGACAAAGCCCATCCCTAGAGCCTTCATGTACTCATCAAAGTTCTGTCGGTCAGCTTCCAGGTATTACAGAAAGCCTCCTCCACCCTTGCCCTTTCCCCACTTTAGAGACAGAAGTGAGGAGCTGCTGGTCTTATTGCCACTGCAGTTTGTGTTTTTTTTTTTTTTTTTTTTTTTTTGAGAGGGAGTCTCGCTGTGTCTCCCAGGCTGGAGTACAGTGGCATGATCTCAGATCACTGCAACCTCTGCCTCCTGGGTTCCAGTGATTCTCCTGCCTCAGCCCCTCAAGTAGCTGGGATTACAGACGCATGCCACCAAGCCAAGCTAATTTTCTGTATTTTTAGTGGAGACAGGGTTTCACCATGTTGGTCAGGCTGGTCTCAAACTCCTGGCCTCAAGTGATCTGCCCGACTTGGCCTCCCAACGTACTGGGATTACCAATGTGAGCCACTGCGCCTGGCCCAGTCTGCTGTATTTTAAAACAGCTAAAATGAAAGTAAGAGAGAGTGTTAAGGAAATCCTGATGCTCAAAAAGCTTGGATTTTGGTTAGCTTGAGCTATGGCTGTTAGCCTCCAGGATAAACCCAATGGAAAATTATGCTGAAAAAAACAGACAGTATATCTATGGCCTTTGACCACCAGGAACATTGTCCAAATGGTGGGTGACAAAACCAAGACAGTACTGGAAGCAGGGGTTATGTGTGAAGGAGTTATCTTGCCTTGTGAACTGGTATTCATCGGGTTCCTGAAAAACATTTAAGAAAATAGATTGTGAGAGTGACTAACTTGGGAGCAGTATCTTTGATTCTGAATGTTGCAGAATGAAGAAGTCTGCTTGGGGTTGATGCAGGAACCTTATTACTGAACAATCATGGATTGTTGTACATGATCCAAACACACAATAGATTGTTCCTAAAGGGACAGCTAGTCTGGTGGACTGGGTAAAAGCCACTGTAAAATTTGTTTACCCTGAAAAGGGAAATGGTCCTTCCCCTCCTTTAAATGCCAAGTGGCACTCCTCCATAGATGACATAGCTGGTAAGCTGCATATGCAAACCATGCTGGATTAACTTCATGGTCATCAGGATGTTTGTTCATCCTTAATATGCCCTTTAAATCATGGTAAATACTGTGACTGAAGGGGCCCCGCTAGGCAGGCATCTGATATAACTGCTGCAAAATCTATCAATGGTCCAAGAAATGTGTCAGATTTGTTGTCTCAGCTTCTTAATATGGGTCTTACAGATGCTAAGAAAATAAGACTGAATCACAAGTGAATGGGTAACACAAAACAGATAGTCAACGAAGTCCCAAGCAGGATGAAGTTTTAAACGGTTACTAAGAGATGGGATGAATAAAATGGACACTGATGTTAACACAAAGGTCTTAATGCTGCACTATCAGAAGTTAGGTTTACCAATGGGAGCGCCTCTTAGTCCCCCAACACTGAAGGGCCCTAAACAAACACTCTATGCACCCTAATTTCAAAGAATGCACCAAGCTGGGAAGCAAAAATGACAATGAAGAACCTCAGTTCAAATCATCAGAGGTGATGGGCTACCAAATTAATCAGGATGAGGACTGACACAGAACCAGGGCTTTCTTTTAACTAATCTCCTAGTAGGGACTGAAGGCCATATGCACACCTGTAGGTACAATAGAAGGTAAAAAAGAAACCTTCCAGGGGTTCCTGACATAGAATTCAGTGCCTCTGATTCCAAAACCTATTGGTAAAATCCTAGCAGAGGCAATAACTAGAAAGACAGGATATGAGGATGAAATGGCTGATAGGATTAAATTAAAATTTGGATGAAAATTAGTATGTTTGAATGAATCTTGGAAGTACTTGCATCCACATTACCTGAATATGTTTTGGGGAAGGATATGATGTTTGACCAGGGAAAACTTCAGCTACTATACTGCAGAAAGCTTGTTAGTTTTCCCTTCAGTCAGAACAGGCTAAATGAGAATCTGTGCAACTTCCCCAGCTCACATAGGTTGTTAATTTGAAACAGTATCATGGTGGACCAAAAGAGATTTAGCACATGAATTAATGACATGTTCGACACTGGAGTGCTGTTACCAACAAGTTCTGTGTCGTGCATGAAAAAGGTGAATTATTCATGAAAACTCACAGCAGATAATCAAGACTTGAATAATATAGTATCATCTACAGCATCAGCAGTCTCTGACATGGTTTCAGAAGTTCTCAAAATAAAACAATCTAAAAGAGACATACTCAGCCAGACATAGTGGCTCACACCTGTAATCCCAGCACTTTGGGAGGCCAAGGCAGGAGGATCACTTGAGTCCAGGAGTGTAAGACTAGCCTGGACAACATAGTGAGACCCTGTTTCAATTAAAAAAAAAAAAAGAGAGAGAGACATACTGATTGATCTTGAAAATACTTTTTTCTTGGTCCCAATCTCAGGAAAAAAACAACTGCACTTTGCCTTCTAGTGGGAATGATCCCAATTTATACTTACTGCAGTGCTGCAGGTTTATCTGCATTTATCAGCTTACCATTATAATTTGTTTCGAAGGGATTCTGACTTGATACAGGTCCAGAATACAATAATATACTACACTGATGACATTATGACGGTATCAGAAACCTAAGAACAAGCTAGGGCTAACTTGAAAATAGTGGTGGCTCACAGGAATACCACAGGCTGGAGGATAAATCCAGCAAATACCCCAGGGTCTAACCAAACTGTGAAATTCTTACGAATAACCTGGGCAGGAACCACCCATAACATTCTACAGGCAACTAAAATTAAATTGCTCTTATTACATAACCATGAAAGTAAACAAGCAGCATTCACTGCAGCTGGTTTGCTTGAGTTTTGCGAAGAAAAATTCTGTATCTGGGGACTAGTGCTAAATCCAATCCGTAAAACTACCTGAAAGGACACATATGAATGGAAACCTAAACAACAGCAGGCTATTATCTAAGTTGCAGTGGCTCAATTAATGCCTTTGGGTCCTTACGATATACACTCAGATATGATTTTAGAAGTATCTGCAACTCAGACTGGAGCTTATGGCAAAAAGCCCATGAATGCTGTCCAGCAGTAACCACTGGGACCATGGGCCAGACAAGAAAGTATAGAACACATCATTAGAGAGACGATTATTGGTTTGCTCCCGGGCATTAACTGCAACTGTCTTTATGACTGAAGGACATAACATAATCCTAAAACCTAAAATATCCATGTCTTGGGTAATGTCAGAGAAACACTCTAACGAGTACCAATAACAAAATGAAAATGGCTTAACGGGAATGTGCTGAGGAATGCAAGAAGACACTTACCATATTCAATAGAAGAAAACCTTTTTTTTTTTGAGACAGGGTCTCACTTTGTGTCAACCAGGCTGAATACAGTGGGGGCAATCACAACTCACTGCAGCCTTGACCTCCCAGGCTCAAGCAATCCCGCATCTCAGCCAAATGAGTAGCTGGTATCACCAGAGGCATGCCACCACACCTGGCTAATTTTTATTTTTTGTAGAGATGGGAGTCTCACTATGTTGCCCAGGCTGAGTCTGAGTCTGAACTCCTGGACTCATGCGATTCTCCTGCCTTGGCCTCCCAAAGTGTTGAGACTGCAGCCATGAGTCATCACGCTTGGCCTCCTCTTTTCTTCCAGATCAACTTTGGAACCATCTGTAAAGCTACCAGATCCTATTGCCACATCCTACTGTTCAAATGCTAGTGTCTTACAAAGAGCTCTCACTGACCACCAAAAAGTGGCTTGTTTTACAGATGATAGCAGTTCAAAGGTAATCAGCCAGCATCCTGTTTGGAAGGCTGTCACACTATAACTGACTGATGTGAAACTGATGAAAGAACAACAAATCAGCTCAAAGGGCTCAATTGTACATTGTTCTCCTTGCAATGATGGATGAACTAAACAAACATAACCTTCATGTGTGGATGTACACCCATGAATGGGCTGTGGCCATTTGCCTGGCCATATGGTCAGGCTGACAGGCAGTGAAAAACTAGACTATTAAATGGATGTGCCAGGCATGGTGGCTCACGCCTGTAATCCCAGCACTTTGGGAGGCCGAGGCAGGTGGATCACCTGAGGTCAGGAGTTTGAGACCAGCCTGACCAACATGGTGAAACCCCGCCTCTACTAAATACAAAAAGTTAGCCAGGTGTGGTGGTGAATGCCTGTAATCTCAGCTACTTGGGAGGCTGAGGCAGGAGAATCTCTTGCACCTGGGAGGCAGAGGTTGCAGTGAGCTGAGTTTGCACCATTGCATTCCAGCCTGGGCAACAAGAGCAAAACTCCATCTCAAAAATAAATAAGTAAACAAAATAAATAATAAATGGATGGGTGATTAATGAGGCATGGCTCTATGAGAATCATTATGGGAATTTAAGGGGTGAATTAAAGTAGGACATGTTGATGGTCATCAAAAGAACTTCTTTCAGGATCAGGAGATGACTGGAACCAGCAAGTGGATGTCCCAGCATGCTTGTTTGAGGTGGCTATCTGGGTCCCCAAAATAAGTAGATATGGGAGATATTGGCCGGGCACAGTGGCTCATGCCTGTAATCCCAGCACTTTGGGAGGCCAAGGCGGGTGGATCATGAGGTCAGGAGACCGAGACCATCCTGGCTAACATGGTGAAACCCCGTCTCTACTAAAAGTACAAAAAATTAGCCAGGCGTGGTGGTGGGCACCTGTAGTCCCAGCTACTCAGGAGGCTGAGGCAGGAGAATGGCGTGAACCCAGGAGGCGGGGCTTGCAGTGAGCCGAGATCGCGCCACTGCACTCCAGCCTGGGCGACTGAGTGAGACTTTGTCTCCAAAAATAAAAATAAAAAAGATATGGGAGATATGCAGCAATGCAGACAGAGATGGGCTGGCCATTGATATATTCCTCTTGTACCCTCTGATGCACAAAATTCCAGAAAGAGCCATCCTGTCTGCCAGAAAGGGAGAAAGAGACTGCAGATGACTATGGCATATATTCCCCAGAAAAAAGTCCCCCCACTCCCATATATAGTTGGCAAATACACTACACTGAGCTACTGCCACTATCCCCAGGAAGCTATAAATGGTAATTCTTGGAAATAGACGTTTACAGTGGATTGGGCTTTGCATACCCAATGGTAGATACAAAAGCTCAAAATACCGTAAGATGACTGGAACAGAAGGTACTGCACCCCCACCAAGTTACATGTCTTCAGACCAAAGAATGTACTTTATAGCCCATACGCCATACTTTACAGCCAATATCCCCAGAAGTCTCAACCAGTGCAGTATCAAGTCAAAGTCCAAAATCTCATTTAAATATCATCAGCTCAAAAGTCCCAAGTGTTATAACCCAAATCAGGAATGGGTGAGACTCTATGCATAATCCACCCTGGGGCAAAATTCCTCTAAATCTGTGGACCTCTCACACTAGAAAACAAGTTATCTGCTTCCAAAATACAATGGTAGAAAAGGCCTAGGACAGATATTCCCACTCAGAAAGGGAGAAATTGGAAGAAATAAAAACATCACTGATTCCAAGCAAGTTCTAAACCCAGCAAGGGAAATTCGATTTCAAGGTCTGTAACTAATCCTCAGTAATTTGTATTTCTGTCCTCTAGGCCCATGGTGGCTCCATCAACCTCTGCCTTTGCAACCCTGGTGGCTCCATCACCCTGTCTCTGGCCTCCAATTCATTCTTGCTTTTTTTTAAAAAAAAAATTATAACATGCTTTCAGCTGACATCCATCAACTATACCATTTCTTTTACACTGACAGGGTTTATAACATTTTCAGTCTGTTCTGTAACTATACTTAAGTCTTCGGTGCTTTGTCTATTGATAAATCCTAAAAACTGAACGCCAATTTGGTGTTTCCAATGGTGTAAGTAAATGAATATTATTCATGGGACAATCAAATAGTATGGTCAGACCTGTAATGAAGGAAAGGTTACTCTACATCAATAGACCTGGGCTTCTCAAGAACCAATGTTTCATGTCTCAACCAAATAGCCTCTTTTTTTTTTTTCCATACAGGCATACGTCAGGTTTTGTTCCAGACCACCACAACAAAAGTATTGCAATAAAACGAGTCACACTAACTTTGTGGTGTCCCAGTGCATATAAGTTATGTTTACACTGCACTATACTGTAGTCTATTAAGTGTGTAACAGCACTATGTCTAAAGAAATGTATATACCTTAATTTAAAAATACTTGACTGCCAAAAAAGGCTAAGGGTCATCTGAGCCCTCAGCAAGTTGTTATCTTTTTGCTGGCAGAAGGTCTTCTCTTGACGTTGATGGCTGCTGAGTGATCAGGGTGGCAGTTGCCAAAGGTGAGAGTGGGTGTGGCAATTTCTTTCTTTTTTTTGAGACGAAGTCTTGCTCTGGCACCCAGGCTGGAGTGCAGTGGCACGATCTTGGTATTCAAGCAATTCTCATGCCTCAGCCTCCCAAGTAGCTGGGATTACAGGCACCTGCCATCACACCCAACTAATTTTTGTATTTTTAGTAGAGACAAGGTTTCACCATATTGGCCAGGCTGGTCTTGAACCCCTGACCTCAAGCGATCTGCCTGCTTTGGCCTCCCAAAGTGCTGGGATTACAGACATGAGCCACCATGCCCAGCGTGGCAATTTCTTAAAATGAGAAAACAATGAAGTTTCCCATATTGACTTTCTCTTCCAAGAAAGGCTTTCTCTTTCGCATGCCATGCTGCTTATCCACAGCACAACTTTCTTCACAATCGGAGTCAATCCTTTCACAACCTGCCACTGCTTTATCAACTAAGTTTATGTAATTTTCTAAATCCTTTGCTGTTATTTCAGCAATGTTCATGGCATCTTCTCAAAGAGTAGATCCTATCTCAAGAAACCAGTTTCTTTGCTCATCCATAAGAAGCAAATCCTCATTTGTTCATGTTTCATCATGGGCCTGATAAAATTTAGTCCTATCTTCAGGCTCCACTGCTAATTCTAGTTCTCTTGCTATTTCTACCACCTCTGCAGTTATTTCCTCCACTGGAGTCTTGAACCCCTCAAACTCATCCATGAAGATTGGAATCAACTTCTTACACACTCCTATTAATGTTGATATTCTGACCTCCTTCCATGAACATTCATGAAGACTGAATGTTTTTCAAGGCATCTAGAATGGTGAATCTTTCCCAAAAGGTTTTCAATTAAGTTTCCTTGGATCTATCAGCAGAGGAATTACTATCTATGGCAGTAATTACTGTCTATTACAAAATGTATTTCTTAAATAATAAGACTTGAAAGTTGAAATAATGGGCTGCAGAATGGACGTTGATAATGAGCTGCAGAACTGACGCTGGGTTAGCAGGCATGAAAACAACATTCATCTCCTTGTATATCTCCATCAGAGCTTTTGTATATCTGGTGCATTGTCAATGAGCAGTAATATTTAAAAAGTAATCTTTTTTTCTGAGGAGGTCTCCACAGCGGGCCTAAAATATTCAGTAAAACATACTGTAAGCAGATGTGCTTGTCATCCAAGCTTTGTTGCTTTACTGATAAGAGAACAGGCAGTGTAGAGTTACCATAATTCTTAAGGGCCCTAGGATTTTTGAAATGGTAAAGGAGCAATGGCTTCAACTTAAAGTCACCAACTGCATAGCCACTACTGAGAGAGTCAATCTGCCCTTGGAAGCTTTAGAGCCAGGCAATGACTTCTCCTTTCTAAGGAAGTCCTAAGTTCAACTACATGGAAAATCTGTGGTTTCGTGTAGTCATCTTCACCAATTATTTAGCTAGATATCTGGATAACTTGCTGCAGCTTCTGTGTCAGCACTTGTGGTTTCACATTGCACTTTTAGGCTATAGAGATGGTGTCTTTCCTTAAACCTCACACGCCAACCTTTCCTAGCTTCCAACTGTTCTTCTGCAGCTTCCTTACTTCTCTCACCCTTCACAGAATTGGGAGAATTAAGGCCTTGCTCTGGATTAGGCTTTGGCTTAAGGGAATGTTGCAGCTGGTTTGAACTTCTATCAAGACCACTCGAACTTTTTCCATATTAGCAATGAGTCTGTTTTGCTTGCTTATCATCAAATACAAGGGCACCCTAATAAGATTATCGAAGATTTCTCATCAGAAACATTGAAGGCCAGAAGGCAATTGGTTGATACATTCAAAGTGCTGAAGGAAAAAAACTAAAGCAAGAATCCAGCAAAACTATCTTTCAAAAAATGAGGGAGGTATCAAGACATTTCTAGGTAAACAGAAACTGAGGGAGTTCATTAGCACTGGACCTGTCATACAAGAAAAGCTATAGTGAGTTATATTAAACCCTTCAGGTTTAAATATAAGGACATTAGACAGTCACTTAAAGTCAGATGAAGAATTAAAGATCTGGTAAAGCTAAATACACAAAAAAATATAAAAGCTAGTATTACTGTAAGTTTGTGTTGTAATACCACTTTTTGCTTTCTACATGATTAAAGAGACTCATACATTAAAAAATTAGTAGTCTTGTTTTTGGACACACAATGCATAAAGATGCAATTTAAAGACACCAACAATTGAAAGGAGTAAGGACAGAATTGTAAAGAAGTGGAGTTTTTGAGGGTTATTAAAGTTAAGGTGGTATAAATTTAAATTACAGTACTATAACTTCAGGATATTAAATATAACCTATACAAAGAAAATAGCTATAGAATATACACAACAGGAAATGACAAGAGAATTAAAATGTTTCACTAAAAAATCAATTAAACACAAAAGAAGGCATTTATGTAGAAAAGGAGGGACAAAAAGCAATGAGGCATATAGAAAATAAATAGCAAAAGGACCGAAGTCAGTCCTTATCACGACTCACTTTAAACATAAATGGACTAAACTCTCCAATCAAAAGAAAGAGATTGGGAAAGTCGATTAAACAAACAATAAGAATGATCCAATTCCATGCTGTCTCCAAAAGCCACAAACTGGGTAAAAGTGAAAGAGAAAAAATTATTACATGAAAATATAGCAGTTCCCCTTATTAGTGGAGGATATGTTTTGAGACCCTGGTATTTGCCTAAAACCATGGATAGTACCAAACTCTATAAAGTCATTCCTTGATATCCATGGGGGATTGGTTTCAAAATCCCCCTGCAGATAACAAAATCCACAAATGCTCACTTCCCTAGTATCAAATAGCATAGTATTTGCATATAATCTATGCACATCTTCCCATATACTTTAAATCATCTCTAGATTAGTTATCATATCAGATATAATGTAAATGTTATGTAAATAGCTGTTACAATACATTGGTTTTTTAATTTTTAATATTTTTATTCTTGTATTATTATTTTTGAGTATTTTAAATCCACATTGGTTGAATCCATGGATATGGAATACAGAGAGCCAACTGCATATACTGTGTTTTTTTCCTACACATACTACCTAAGATAAAGTTTAATTTGTAAATTAGGCACATCCTTTATAAATGGATATTAAAAGTAGATTAACAGCTACTATTAAAAGTAAATTAACAACAATAATAAAATAGAAAACTTATAACAATATATTGTGATACAAGTTATTGTGATGCATATGGTCTCTCTCTCAAAATATCTTATTTTACTATACTCATCTATATTTAGGCTGTGGTTGATTGGGGGTAACTCAAACCATGAAAAGCAAAACTGCAGCTAAAGGGGGTACTGCCATAGTAACCAAAAGAGAAAAGGGGTGGCTATATTAATATCAGACAAAATAGACTTTAAATGAAAAGGCCAGAAAACACCAAAAAAAGATATTATTAATAAAAGTTAATACAGCAAGATATAACAATAATAAACACTTACATACCTAATAACAAGACCATCAAAATATATGAGGCAAAAATTGAAAGAACTGCAGAAAGCAATGACCATTTTACAATAATAGTTGGAGATTTCAATACCCTACACTCTCAATGATGAATACAACAACCAGAAAGAAAGAAGTAAGGCAACGGAAGACTTCGACAACTCAATAAAGCAACTAAATCTAAGACATATACACAAAATGCTCTATTAAATATACACAAAATACTCTACCTAACAACAGAATCTACAGTCTTTTCAAGTGCATAGGGGACGTTCTCCAGGATAGATCATATGTTGGATTACAAATAAAGTCTCAATAAACTTTAAAAGACAAATACAAAGTATCTTCTCCAACTACAACATGAAGTTAGAATATAAAGAAAACAAGAAAATTCCCAAATTTGTAGAAATTAAACAACAGACACAATCAATGACAAAGGAAATTAGAAATACTTTGAGATGAATGAAAACAAAAATACGACAGACTAAAATTTATGGGATGCCACAAAAACAGTGCTAAGGGAGAAATTTAAAGCCATAAATGCTTATACTAAATAAGAGAGATTGCAAATCAACAATCTAACTTTATAACTTAAGGAACTAGGAAAAAAATAAATTAACCCAAAGCAAGCAGTAGGAAAAAAAAATAAAGATTAAAGCAAAGACAGATAAAACAAAGAAAAGTCAACAAAGCCAAAAGTTGGTTCTTTGAAAAGATTAACAAAATTGATAAACCCTTAGCTTAACTAAGAATAAATGTATAAGGAATGAGGGAAATAGAAAATCACCATTAGAACACAACAGTAATAATTATTATGGGCAAAATCCACTGATATGGGTGTTAAAATTAGTACCTAAAAGTTTAAGAAAAAATAGGTTATTTATATAGTCCCAGAGTATTTCCTCTAAGATACTGATTACTTATGAATGGAAAAAATAGCAACTTTAAAGTGAAGAAACACAGTAGACACCACTGTAGTCAAGCAATCAAAATTAACATCACCAGTAAAAAGATATCAAAATCATTTCTTCCCTGATATGTTGCTCTGAGAAGGGCACAGCAGGAACCAAACCCCAGGTCTTGTCACACTCCAAATCTTCATAGTGTTAATCATCTTGCTATAAATGAGCATATTTTCTTTCAAGAAACGATAAATAGATTTGTTGGGAGAAAGCAGCAAGGCACTACTTCAATCAGAATAGTCTATCATTTGTGAAATATACGTAGTTCTGTACAGTTACTCAGAAAAGTGTAAGTAGTGAGATAAGACAGTGTCTAATAGGATATTCCCCAGTCTGATGAACAGAAATTAAATAATGGGATACAAGTGAGGCTAATATATAAAAGAAAAAACAGAATGGAATAGATATTTACTGATGCTTGATACACAGTAGGTAGTAATAATACACAGTAGGTAGTAATAATAGTAATAATAATTATAGCAAATATTTATAACAATAGCATATTTTAATTTCATTTGATTTGTAATTTAATTTGTTAAGTTTATTTAATACTGATGGCATGTACTATTATATTTATCTATTCATTTAACCCTGAAAATAACCATATGAGGCAGGTACTACTATTAGCCCCACTCTGTAGATAAGAAAATAAAGGCATAAAAAGTTGGATCACTTACTAAGCAGCAAAACCTACCTGACATTATACTACCTCCCAGAAAATATCAGCTTAATTAATAATAAGTGCCAGCTAGGATGCTAAATACCTTACATATCCCAATCCTCAAAATATTCCTGTCCAGAGGTTTTATTATACCAATTTAAATGAAAAAAACTAAGGCTCTGATTGGTTGCCCAACACACTGCAAGATATTGAGCACATTCGGCTTCTACCTGGTAACTGTCAGAAGTACCCCTCCTCCTCAGTTACTGTGATAAGCAAATATGTGCCCCCCATAAACATTTCCAAATGCCCCTAAGAGACCAGTACTTCCCCAAAGTACTGCTTTAAAAAGTACTGGTTGTTAAAGACTATTAGGTGAGTAGTGAACCTAGGTGTGTATGATTCCAAAGCCAATGTTCTTTCCAATAGGGGCATTGACTTGTAAAGGAGTTGAGGTCAAAACAAATGTACAAAGACAGGGAAACAAAGTTTCACAAAGTGTAAGGGGCAATACACTCCAGATGAGGAAACTATAGTAGCAAATAACTGGAAGTTGAAGTAGTCCATAAAGTATAACAGTAATTTATGTCATTTGTTGAATTAAGTAAGACTTAAAGCATGGACCAATTTGTAAAGTGTATCTCCTGAGGGAATTGGGATTTTGTTCAGAACTCTGAGTGAGAACTGACATCATTAACATGTTATTTATTTAAAAAGGTCTAAGCTGAATAAAGGTATGGGGGTGGGAAGTAAGTCTTCCTAAAATAATTTATTTTAATTTCACCATTCTAGTATTTTCAAATCTATTTAGGATGTTTTTCCATTCAATGTTATATAAGCTTTAGAATTTATGAGTAAAAATCATCTACACTAGTCAATCTTAATAAGAAATTCAGAACGATAGGAGAAATTATTAAAAAGCAATCCTAGTATAATTATGATATAGATCACAAAACATTCTCCCAAACATGCAAACATAAACATTTCTATTTCCTTAAGAGAATAGCTTTAGTATATAATATACAAATATTATGAATGTCTGAAAACTTTAAAAATTACAAATATTAATACACAAAAATTACTGTAGCAGTAGTCTACAACCATATTTTGGTTGTTTAATGGAATTTGCATACATTAGCATGTAAATTCATGAGCCCACAAACACATGCACACTGCAAACAAAAATTTAGTAATCAACTTTAATAAATCAGTTACCTTTGCAATAATGACTTCTTTCTTCAGAATCTTCATAGCATAGTATTTTCCACTTGCCTTCTCTCGAACCAAAATAACTTTCCCAAAAGTGCCTTTACCTAGTAGTTTCAAATAGTCAAAATCATTCATTGTCTGAAAAATACAAATTAAAAAATATAATATGAAGTATTTGATGCAATTTATTTGTTAGCATATATATATGTGTTTGCAATATCCACTCAAAACCAAATTTTACCAATTTATAAGCACATTTAAATGAAAAAGAATCAGACTGGCATTGGCTGTCTCATTAGCAACCATGGATGCTGAAAATAATTTAAGCAGTTCTCAGATGTTGGAGAAAATGATTTTGAACCTAGAATTCCTCAGCGAAATTATCAGTTGTGTAAAAGGGCAAAGGAGGAAAAAAATTATTTTCACTCATTTTTAAGGACTCAAGTTTTCAAGGATTTAGTAGTGCTGCTACCCCCAGAAAATGTGATAATCAAAAATGTTCCACACAAACATTTCCAAATATGCCTAAAAAAGCAGTGCTTTGGAAGGAGCTATCTGAGAATTTACTCTAGCAAAATAAAGATAAAATCCAAGAAAGAGAGAGATATAGGATATATTTATAAGAAATGTCGAGAACCTCGTATACTTCAGTTAAAATAAATCAAAGAAAGCAGTTGTTATTCCTGAGAGAGTACTTTATGCAATTCAGAACAGCAAGGAAGGGAGCTCTAAGAAGAATATCTTTAATTAATGTGCCTGTTTTCAGTTTCACTTCTCTTTCTTAAGTCAGGTAATCCTGAGGATTTTGCCAGTCACACGTGCCACTTGTTCTCTACAGTCCCCTCTATGTACTCTTTTCCTGCTCTGCTCTATCAACATTCTTCCAGAAACTTCCAAACTTTTGAAGGCATTTGTGCCCTAATGCCCCTCCCCGACCCAGCTTTTCATTTTTGTGGACTTGCCTCCTTTTGAAATTCCTTTACTTTCATATTAATAGGTTTTTGAAGAGAAGAGAAGGTAATTGTATATGATCAGTTTACATAAATTTAAACTCAGTTTAGAGGTTTATAAATATCAAATAAGTATTTGGGTTTTATCTTGAAATTACAAGTCACTGAAAATTTTAGTGCCTTTTATAACTTTTTTTTTCTGTTTATCATTTATCTAAAGTAAACGTGAGAAATATTTCAAATCAATTGTTTCAGTTTCCACCTTAACAAACTTAAAAAAAAAGCAAGTTAACCCAAAAGAGTTAGAAGAAAATGATACAGATCAGAGCAGAAATCAATTAAATTTTTAAAAGAAAGAAAAAGAGTAGAGAAAAAATCAGTGAAACCAAAAGCTAGTTCTAAAAGATCAATAAAAATTGATAAGCCTCTGGCCAGGTTGGTCAGAAAAATAGAGAAGACACAAATTACCAATATCAGGAATGACAGAGGTGGCATCACTACAGATTCTACAGATATTAAAAGAAACGTAAGAGACTATTATAAATGGCATTTTGACAATAAAATTGACACCTTTGATGAAATGAACAAATTGCTTGAAAGTCTCAAGCTTTGAAAGCTCTTTCTTTGAAAGAAACAGATAACTTGATAACCCCATATTTATTAAGAAAAATTGAGTCTGTGGTTAAATACCTTTCATCAAAGAAAACTCCAGGCCCAGATGGTTTCACTGGTGAATTCTACAGACATTTAAACAAGAAATGACACCAATTTTATACAAATTCTTTCTGAAAATTAAAATGAGGAATACTTCTCATTCATTCTGAGACAAGCATCATCCTGATACTGAGATAGGAGTTTGGCAGGTCTCCTTTCACAAGATGCAGGTCACAAAGACCCTGCTGGTAAAACAGGATACAGTAAAGAAGCCAGTCAAAACCCACCAAAACCAAGATGGTGATGAAAGTGACCTCCGGTTGTCCCCACTGCTCATTATACATTCATTATAATATATTATCATGCCAAAGGAACCTCCCATCAGTGCCATGACAGTTTACAAATGCCATGACATATCGGGAAGTTACCCTGTATGGTCTGAAAACGGGGGAAACTGTCAGTTCTGGGAATTCCCTGCCCCTTCACCAGAAAACTCAGGAGTAATCCACCCCTTGTTTAGCATATGATTAAAAAATAACCACAAAAATAGCCAACCAGTAGCCATCAGGGCTGCTCTGCCTATGGAGTAGCCACCCTTTCATTCTTTTACTTTCTTAATAAACTTGCTTTCACTTTATTCTGTTGTTTGCTCTTGAATTCCTTCTTGTGTGAAGCCAAGAACCCATGTGGTCTCCCAGGCTGAACCCCAATTTTTTGACAATACCAAAATGAGAGGAAAACAATGCAAGAAAACTACATCCCAATATCTCTCATGTATATTACATAAAAATTCTTAAAATTTTAGAAATGCCTACGTTCACTTTCAACATTTTTTGCTGCTCATATTTTTTATAATTTTCCCCAAATGTCAAATTAAAGTGTCTTACATTCAATAATATCTCTAGTTCAAAGATAAAGTAGCAAAGAGATAGCAGGGAAAATAATAAGATATATTAATTCAACTAAAAATCAAACATGTAGCTCTAAATATCAAATATAGTAAATCAGCTAGTGTCATTTGAACAAATAACAGGTAATATTAGATTTAATTGCATTAATAGAGCAGAAAAAATCAGGGAATACTACATAACAAGCTATTTGTGCTAGGTAGTCTGCAAAGATGGCTGCCACAAATTCCCATTTCTCCCTGTATGCACATTCCACTCTTCCCATGAAGGGGTGGAGTCAACTTTCTCTCTCCCCGGGCTAACCCTGTATCTTGCTTTGAACACAGAATATGATCAAACTGATACTATGCCAGTAACAGACAAAGCCTTTAAGCCTGGCAGTTTATGCGTTCTCTCTCTTGGAAAGCTCTAGAAAGCCAGCTCTAATGCTGTCAGTTAGTCCATATTATCCTGCTGGAGAGAGAGGCCATGTGGAGAGACCCTGGAAGATAAATTACCACTCCGAGAGAGAGACCAAGTGGAGGAGAACCAAGACACCATAGCCAACAGTCAGCACCAAGGCCCCAGACACATAAGGAAGGTTTTGTTGGATTTTCCAGCCCACCCATGTATAAGCTGTAGGCAGCTGATTGAGAGCCATGCATGCAAGACCAACAGAGTGGCCCAAACTACAAAATCATGAGATATTTACATGGCTATTGTTTTAAGACATTAAATTTGAGGTAGTTTGTTCCACAGCGTGAGGGTTAATACTGAGTGTCAATTTGATTGTATTGAAAGATGCAAAATATTGATCCTGGGTGTATCTGTGAGGGTGTTGCCAAAGGAGATTAATATTTGAGTCAGTGGGCTGGGAAAGGCATACCCACCCTTAAGCCGGGTGGGCACCATCTAATCAGCTGCCAGTGTGGCTAGAATATAAAGCAGGCAGAAAAACATGAAAAGGCTAGACTGGCTTAGCCTCCCAGCCTACGTCTTTCTGCTGTGCTGGAGGCTTCCTGCCCTCGAACATCAACTCCAAGTTCTTCAGCACTGGGACTCAAACTGGCTTCCTTGCTCCTCAGTTTGCAGATGGCCTATTGTGGAACCTTGTGATCGTGTGTTTAATACTCCTTAATAAACTCCATATATATGTGTGTGTGTATATATATATATATACACACACACACACACGCACACACACACACATACATATATACACACATATATATATATATATTATTAATTCTGTCCCTCTAGAGAACCCTAATACACATGGCAAGTAACTCAGAAACATTATTTTCATAACCAGGCCAGAGTGTCAATTTATTGCTCAAAGTTTCATTTGGACAGTATGTTCCTCATTTTTTTATTTAAAAGCACTAGAAAATAATACTTGCTGTGCCTTATTATTAAATATCATAGAAAATGAAATTGAATTATTGGGGGGTAAAAATTAGAAAACAATCTGTAAAATGCTTTATGACATTTTCAGTTGAAAACAATATTTAATTATAAAATATTACTATATTCCTTAAGAATTGCAATCCTTATTCTTGGCTGGGCGTGGTGGCTCACACCTGTAATCCCACAATTTGAAAGACCAAGGCAGGTGGATCACTTGAGTGCATGAGTTTGAGACCAGCCTGGGCAACATGGCAAAACCCTGTCTCTACAAAAAAATACAAAAATTAGCCAAGTGCAGTGGCAGGTGTCTGTAGTCCCAGCTACCTGGGAGGCTGAGTTGGGAGAATTACCTGAGCCTGTGAAGTTAAGGCTGCAGTGAGTCACGATTGTGCCACTGCACTCCAGCCTAAGTGATAGGAGTGAGACCTTGTCTCAAATGAAAATAAATAAATAAGTAAATAGTAAAATTGCAATTCTTAGGAACAATGAGGCTAAAAAAAAAGTATGACAGCCTTCACTGAACTTCACAGCTTGTCAGTTTGACTCTCAATCTTTAAAAAAAAGGGAATTTACATGGAAATTACTATTAGTTAAAAAGCACTGTATGTGATAAAATCAGAAACAGATTTCCCATCTATTTTGACAGAACTTCAGGAAATTAAAAAGGTATTTTTGCTATCAAATGCTCATGGTCAGAATGGTATACACAGTAATTGTGTAGTCTTTACAAATGAAATGTACACTATTACAAAATGTTTTGGTCTTCTGGATGATGTTATGGAAAAAGATACAGTAAGTCCTTTTTTTTGTTTGTTTGTTTGTTTTGAGACGGAGTCTCGCTCTGTCGCCCAGGCTAGAGTGCAGTGGCACGATCTCGGCTCACTGCAAGCTCTGCCTCCTGAGATCACGACATTCTCCTGCCTCAGCCTCCCGAGTAGCTGGGACTACAGGCGCCCGCCACCACGCCTGGTTAATTTTTTGTATTTTTAGTAGAGACGGGGTTTCACCGTGTTAGCCAGGATGGTCTCGATCTCCTGACCTTGTGATCCGCCCACCTTGGCCTCCCAAAGTGCTGGGATTACAGGCGTGAGCCACCACGCCCAGCCACAGTAAGTCTTTAATAAAAATATAGGAGTATGAATACTCTCCAGAAAAATAATCCTCCTCCAAAGCCTGATCTTAAGAATTTATTGGGGAAATACTTTACAGTTACACTCTTCCCTTTACATGTTTACGTGGCTGTTTTAGGTAAAGAGATACATGGGCATATATAACAAATGCTTAATAAATGTGTTCAAATCAGGCACACCAGAATATAAGACACTGTCTAGCCCACAAATTAGATTAAAAATAAACATATAATCAATGAGGAACATAAAGAACTTCCAAGAATACCACAGTATTAGCATATTTGGTCAAAAAAAGATAAATTCCAGATACATTTACAATGTAACAGCAAAACCAAGTAAGTAGAAAGAGGAAAAGAGCTCTGACGAAGTTCACTCCTTTGCCTCCATCTCTGCCCACTTCTCCTGGTGCTCTTTCTCACGGGAAGAGGTGGAGCTAATGTTATTAGTCAACTTCTACATTGGTTACGTCGCTTCTCCCTTTTAAATAAGCAGATTCATGCAGTGTGAGATCATGAGATTTCAGCAGGTCTGGCCATTGTTCTTTTTTTCCTTCTCTTTTTCTCTGGATACTGGCCACTGGTATGAGTTACTACAGCCAGGAATTAGGTGATACAATCCCAAGAACTGGAGTCAAACTTAGTGGGAAAGCAGGAGGCACTGCTTATACTTTAAACGTAAATCATGAGATTATAGCCAGTTGATCCCAGAGAAGCTTATGCTAGTCTGTTAAAAATTAAGCAGAATTTTGACTCTCACTTGGCTTTTTATCCTTTTATGCTATGCCCCTTCACATACTTGACAAGGCATACAAGAATGGTAGCTTGGCTGACCAAGATTAGGCACTTCTGGGTTCTCTAAGCAAATTCCTCTGAAACGCTATCTTTTAATTAAAACATAGAACCACATTTTCTTTTAATTCAAACAAAGAAGAGCACTTAAATCTGTCTGTGAGGCCCTTGCCTCTTTACACCCAACATCCTTCCTTTCCAATTGAGTTTTTAACTGGCAGAGCAGACACTGTGGCGATAATCCACCACTAAGGGAGGTAACGAACCCTATTTCATGCAAGAAATAGCAGTCTGACAACTGTCACCATAGCCATCATAATCAGTACCTATTCTTTTAATCCTATTGCCATTTGGCAAAAATTAAAGAAGGAAATGTATCCTATAAATTATTAGAATAATATTCTTATTTCACAATGTGTGGTTATAGTCTTAAAAATAATCCAAACTTCTGCAATTCTTTGCATGATAATTGATATACATAAGGGTATAGTTCTAGAATCATTTATCTTATGAAAATGACAGTAATATTTTACCACTTGAGGCTAAGTCATTAGGACCGTTATGGAGTTAGTAGTGGTACAAATGTTCTTTTTCTGCACTAACTTCTGCAGTAATTTAGAACTATTTTAAATTATTTCAAAAAAGTTAACAGAACTTCAAACATATAAGATCTTTTAATTGTATACTGTAACACGTCAATATACAGCTTATTTCTTTTTCTTGGTTCATATATCTTGAGCCTCTCTAATCTCTATAATTTTTATGCTTATAATGAAGTTATATTAGAAACAAAATTATGCAGATATTCTCTTATGACTATACTCTGTTTCTCAAAATATTATGAAAAACTGTTGTCCTTATATGACATTTGGATATTAGTTAATTTCAATTGATAATAAAGCTTGTAAATTCTTGAAAAAACCAGTAGAACTTTACTATCACAACCTAGTGCTAGAAAGGGAGGAGTTCAGATCTTACTGCCTGGGGTTAAGTACTGGCTCCCACCCTGTGTGTAATTAAGGGGAAAATTTCTTAATCCTTCCATCCTTTATTTCCCTTAACTATAAAACAGGAATAATAATGGTACTTAACTTATAGTTGAAGTTCAAAATGAAAAAAAAAATGTTTAAAGTGTTTATGTAATACGTGCTCAATAAATATTAGCTATTAAAGTTAGCTACTATTCTTTGTCCACATAAAGATAATTAAACATAAACATCACTCTAAAACATCTTCTCTTAGAATTTTTTACTCCAACTGAGTCTCCAAAAAGAAAAATCCATAGAGGTATTTTGAATTTGGGGTTCAAATACTTAACCATATCAGATTTACACTATTCTTCATTTCATTTTAAATGAAATAATTTACACATGTACAAAAGAAGCTTTCTTATCTCTGAGTAGGTAGGTGGGTGTAGCTAGACTTTGTTTTTCTTTTTGCAATGATGGAGGAACAAGGCAGATTAAATTGACGTAAAAGAAAAGAGGGATTCAGTTCAACAAACAAACAGAGTAGAAATCTACAATGAAGACAGAAAGGGATCTCAGACATTTGGCCCAGATCAAGTATAGAATATTATTCTTATTCACATAAGGAAAGGATAATTAACTTTATGTTGTGAGTGTGTAACTTCACCAAGTCCACAAGTTTAACGTGGAAAAGGGAGGATATGAACTCAGGCAGTCTATCTCCAAAGAGTTCTTAATCACTGTGCTAATACCAAATTTCATGGATAATACCTTGAAAATTTGTGTTTTCCTCCCTGAAGATTAATTTACAACCTATTAAATCAAACATATTCTAAAGTGATAAATGGCAAGCTTATCTCAACACCTCTATCTTTAATCATGAAAATATCATTTTTGTAATAAGGAAATTGCTTTTCAATTTTCTATTGCAATGAAAAAATTTATATTGCTCATAAAAATATAAATTCGTACTTATTATGCTGGAACACTGAGAGAAGGAAAAGTCTATTTCCCTACTGACTCAGAAGCAGCCATTAAATAAGAGTTATTGTTTCCAAGATTGTTCACTTTCCTGCTGACTTTACTATGACTGAGGGCACCAATCAGGAAGTACATCCGAGCCATTACTGCTCGTGCTTTTCGGGAGAATACGAAATGCGAAATGGAAAAGAACAAATCATCAGGGAAAACATTTTATTACAAAGTTTCTAAAATTGTATTAAAAATAATAAGGAAAAAATGCAAATTATAAAGTAGTGTGATGGCACATCAGTCACACATGAGCCCTATCAGCATTCAGTGCTAAAGTGCTGGATCACTGAAACAATGTTCACCTATTTGGTTTTAAACAACAACAGGTATTTCAGATTCATGTGAATAAGACCCACCAATATATTTACATATCGTAAGAAAACTGGCTGACATCTTTCTGCAAATGGTAGCTTTTAATATGTTTCTTCCAGACAAATGAATGCTGTGCTGGGAATAAGTTATTATTTTCTACCTTTCTTTTATGATGGGTTGTAGAGGCATCCATCTCTTCCTCTCCTATATTATCAATTTGTGAAGTTGGACTACAATTCATTCTCTCCTCTTCTTGCCTCTGCAGTCTGTCTGCTACAGCCTGGATAGCTTCTGTCCATTCTTCCCTATAAAAATGAGTAAAATTTCCCATTAATAGAAGATGGTAAATGATTTAAATATTTTCCTTTTATAAACTATGAAATCAATACAAATAAAATCTATTCAGAGATCAAACACACTCAACACAGATAAGCATACACTCTCACCATCACCCCAAAGTGAAAATAATCCTAAGAGCATTTCATTCACCACATGCCTAAAGTCTGTAGTAGCATTTTTTGGAAGTATGTTAAAGAAAAAAAGAGAAGAAAAAAATTGTTGAAAACTCGAGTTAAAATCATTTACATGAAAAGTTAAATTTTATTTGTCTGTACATATATATATCCTACTTTTTTTTTTTTGGAAACGGTCTCACTCTGTTGCCCAAGCTGGAGTTCAATAGCATGATCTCAGCTCACTGCAACCTCCACCTCGTGGGTTCAAGTGATTCTCCTGTCTCAGCCTCCTGAGTAGCCGGGATTACAGGCGTGTGACACAATGCCTGACTAATTTTTGTATTTTTAGTAGAGACGGGGTTTCACCATGTTGGCCAGGCTGGTCTCGAACTCCTGACCTCAAGTGATCCATCCGCCATGGCCTCCCAAAGTGCTGGGATTACAGCCATGAACCACCGCACTTGGCCAATCCTAACTATTAAGTTGACCCCCTAAAAGTTTGCTGCAGTTTTTAGAAGTGTTTTGCTTAGCTATTTTAAGTCCATCATTGACATCCTGAAGATTTCTATGAGGTCCAACAGACATTCCAAGGAAAGGTTTTCAAAGCCAAAACCTTTCATTGTTTCCAGATCATAGTAAATTTCTTAGAAAAAATTAAAAAAAAGGATACAGCTTGTAGTTTGAACAATCAGTCTCAGGAGCATTTATATCAAGCATTTATTTTTTGACATTTGGTTATCAGACCAAGGATCATTATTTTTCCATGTGAATTTTAAAATCAGCTTGTCTACTTCTTAAAGTCTATTTGGATTTTGACTGGAATTACATTAAATCTATAGATGAATTTTGGGAAAACTACCATCGTAATCATTTAAATCTTCCAATCCATGAACATGGTATAGCTCTACATTTATACAGGTCTTTAATTTCCCAATGCAATGTTTGTAATTTTCTGTGTAAAGATCTTTCACATCTTTAACTGAATTTATTCCTACATACAATCATGCACCACATAACAATGTTTCAGTCAATGATGGACTGCATATACGATGGCAGTCCCCTAAGATTATTACACTGTATTTTTACTGTACCCTTCCTATGCTTATATGTTTAGATACATAAATACTTACCATTGCATTACAATTGTCTATAGTATTCAGTACACTAACATGCTGTACAGGTTTGTAAACTGTGAGCAACAGGCTACACCAAATAGCCTAGGTATGGGGTGGGCTATACCATCTAGGTTTGTCCAAGTAGTATGTTTACACAATGTTCCTAATGACATGTTTCTCAAAACGTATCACTGTCATTAAGTGACACAAGACTGTTCTTTTATGCTATTGTGGAGGGTTTTATTTCACTTTCTAATTGTACTTATTAGTATTTAAAAATACAATTGATTTTTGTATATTGACTTTGTATACTGCAACTTTATTAAATTCATTTATTAGTTCCAGTCACTCTTATTTTTCTGCATTTTCTACACATGCAACCATGTGGTATGCAAACAAGAGCAGCTTTACTTGTTTCCAATCCGTATGCTTTTTACATCTTTTTCTTGCTTTATTGCCCTAGATCAGACCTGCAGTACAAAGTTAAATGAAAGTAAACAGCAGCATACATGCTTTGTTTCACAAGTTAGGAATAACATTGTTTTCATCCCCCTTGAATATTATGTAAGTTGTAGATCTTCTATATAACATTTACTTAATCAACTAAGTTCTATTCTATTTCTAGCCATCTGCATATTTTTAATGAAAGTTTGTTGAATTTTTGTCAAATGTAGGCCAGGTGCAGTGGCTCATGCCTGTGATCCCAGCACTTTGGGAGACTGAGGTGGGCGGATTACCTGAGGTCAGGAGTTCAAGACCAGCCTGGCCAACATGGTGAAACCTCGTCTCTACAAAAAATACAAAAATTAGCTGGATGTGCTGGCAGGAGCCTGTAATCCCAGCTACTCGGGAGACTGAGACATGAGAATCACTTGAACCCAGGAAATGGAGGTTGCAGTGAGCTGAAATCACACCATGGCACTCCAGTGAGGGTGACAGAGCAAGACTCCGTCTAAAAAAAAAAAAAAGAAAAGAAAAGAAAAAGAAAATAAAACTGTCAAATTCTTTTTCTGTATCTCTATAAAATGATCACACAGATTTTTAACTTTATCATATTAATATGGTGAAATTAGCTTAATAGTTTCCAGATGTTAACACAACTTTGAATTCTTGGGAGAAGCTCCATTTGGCCACATAACTTAAGCTTTTATGCTTTTTACCTATTGTTTAATTTGTTGATACTTTGTTAAGAAATTCTGCATATGTTCACAAGTGTATTGGGCTATAGTTGTCTTTTCTTAAAATAGTTCTGTCTGATTTCTGAAATGAGGGTGACAGTGGCCTTATAAAATAAGTTGAGAAGTACTCCCTTCTCATTATTTTCTCAAACAGCTTGTAGAGGATTGGTCAAATTTCTAACTTAAATGTTTGACAGAACGCACCAATAAGGCTGTCTGGGCTTGGAACCTTTGAGGAAAGGTTCTTAATTACTAATTCACTTCCATTCATTGATATTGGGTTTTCTAATGTTTTCTTGGATGTCAGTAATTTGTGTCTTCCCTCTTTTTCCTTTAACAATACCCCAAAACGTTTTTCAATTCTATTAATTTTTTTCAAAGAGTACTTTTGGTTTTATTAATTATTCTCTACTATTTTTCTGTTTTCTATTTCACTAATTTCTGATTGCTGTTGTTTCTGTTTTCTTTTGGTTTATTTTTCTGGTTTCTTAAGATACAAGCTTAAGTTAACGATGTGAGAAATTTCTTCTTTTCAAATACAGGTATTTAAGGCTACAAATTTCCTTCTAAGCATTCATTTAGCTACACCCCACAAATTTTGATATGTATTATTTTCATTATTGTTCATTTAAAATTATTTTCTAATGGCTCTTGTGAGTTTTTTGACCCAATGATTATAAAAAATTATGTTAATTTCCAGTAATTGACATCTATTGTCTTACTGTTATTGATTTCTAATTAATTCTGTGGATTACAGAACATACACCATATAACTTTCATCTTCCAAAATGTACTCAGAATTATTTTATGACCAAGAATATGTTATGTGTATATGTGTGTGTGTGTGTGTGTGTGTGTGTGTGTGTGTGTGTGTGTGTATGTTGGGTGTGTGTGTGTGTATATATATATGTTATGTGTATATATATATACACATACACACATACATACACACTTTAAGTTCTGGGGTACATGTGCAGAATGTGCAGTTTTCTTACATGGGTATACATGTGTCATGGCGGTTTGCTGTGCCCATCAATCCGTCACCTATATTAGGTTATTTCTGCTAATGCTATCCCTCCCCTAGCCCCCAACTCCCTGACAGGCCCCAGTATGTGATGTTCCCCTCCCTGTGTCCATGTGTTCTCATTGTTCAACTCCCACTTATGAATGAGAACATGGGATGTTTGGTTTTCTATTCTTGTGATAGTTGGTTGAGAATGATGGTTTCCAGCTTCATCCATGTGCCTGCAAAGGACATGAACTCATCCTTTTTTATGGCTGCATAGTATTCCATGGTGTATATGTACCACACTTTTTTTATCCCGTCTATCACTGATGGACATTTGGGTTGGTTCCAAGTCTTTGCTATTGTGAATAGTGCCGCAATAAACATACGTGTGCATGTGTCTTTATGGTAGAATGATTTATAATCCTTTGGGTATATACCCACTAATGGGATTGCTAGGTCAAATGGTATTTCTAGTTCTAGATCCTTGAGGAATGGCCACACTGTCTTCCACAATGGTTGAACTAATTTACACTCCCACCAATAGTGTAATAGCATTCCTATTTCTCCATATCCTCTCCAGCATCTGTTGTTTCCTGACTTTTTAATGATTGCCATTCTAACTGGTGTGAGATGGTATCTCATTGTGTTTTGATTTGCATTTCTCTAATGACCAGTGATGATGAGCATTTTTTCATACATTTGTTGGCTGCATAAATGTCTTTTGAGAAGTGTCTGTTCATATCCTTTGCCCACTTTTTGATGGGGTTGTTTTCTTCTTATAAATTTGTTTAAGTTCTTTGTAGATTCTGGATATTAGCCCTTTGTCAGACGAATAGATTGCAAAAATTTTCTCCCATTCTGTAGGCTGCCTGTTCTCTCTGATGATAGTTTCTTTTGCTGTGCAGAAGCTCTTTAGTTTAATTAAATCCCATTTGTCAATTTTCGCTTTTGTTGCCATTGCTTTTGGTGTTTTAGACATGAAGTCTTTGCCCATGCCTATGTCCTGAATGGTACTGCCTAGGTTTTCTTCTAGGGTTTTTATGGTTTTAGGTCTTACATTTAAGTCTTTAATCCATCTTGGGTTGATTTTTGTATAAGGTGTCAGTAAGGGGTCAGTTTCAGTTTTCTGCATATGGCTAGCCAGTTTTCCCAACACCATTTATTAAATAGGGGATCCTTTCCCCATTGCTTTTTGTCAGGTTTATCAAAGATCAGATGGTTGTAGATGTGTGGTATTATTTCTGAGGCCTCTGTTCTGTTCCATTGGTCTGTATCTCTGTTTTGGTACTAGTAGCATGCTGTTTTTGTTACTGTAGCCTTGTAGTATAGTTTGAAGTCAGGCAGCATGATGCCTCCAGCTTTGTTCTTTTTGCTCAGGATTGTCTTGGCTATGCGGGCTATTTTTTGGTTCCATATGAAGTTTAAAGTAGTTTTTTCCAGTTCTGTGAAAAAAGTCAATGGTAGCTTGATGGGGATAGCACTGAACCTATAAATTACTTTGGGCAGTATGACCATTTTCTTGATATTGATTCTTCCTATCCATGAGCACGGGTTGTTTTTCCATTTGTTTGTGTCCTCTTATTTCCTTGAGCAGTGGTTTGTAGTTCTCCTTGAAGAGGTCCTTCACATACCTTGTAATTTGGATTCCTAGGTACTTTAAGCTCTTTGCAGCAATTGTGAATGGGAGTTCACTCATGGTTTGGCTGTTTATTATTGGTGTATAGGAATGCTTGTGATTTTTGCACCTTGATTTTGTATCCTGAGACTTTGCCGAAGTTGCATATCAGCTTAAGGAGATTTGGGGCTGAGACAACGGGGTTTTCTAAACATACGATCATGTCATCTGCAAACAGAGACAATTTGACTTCCTCTCTTCCTATTTGAATATCCTTTATTTCTTTCTCTTACCTGATTTCCCTGGCCAGAACTTTCAATACTATGTTGAATAGGAGTGGTGAGAGGGGGCATCCTTGTATTGTGCCAGTTTTCAAAGGGAATGCTTCCAGTTTTTGCCCATTCAGTATGATATTTGCTGTAAGTTTGTCTTAAATAGCTGTTATTATTTTGAGATACATTCCATCGATACTTAGTTTATTGAGAGTTTTTAGCATGAAGGGGAGTTGAGTTTTGTTGAAAGCCTTTTCTGCATCTATTGAGATAATCATGTGGTTTTTGTCATTGGTTCTGTTTATGTGATGGATTACGTTTATTGATTTGTGTATGTTGCACCAGCCTTGCATCCCAGGGATGAAGCTGACTTGATCGTGGTGGATAAGCTTTCTGATGTGCTGCTGGATTCAGTTTGCCAGTATTTTACTGAGGATTTTTGCATAGATGTTCATCAGGGATACTGGCCTGACATTTTCCTTTTTTGTTGCGTCTCTGCCAGGTTTCACCAAAGTCAAAATGTAGGAAAAAATGTTGAGGGCAGCCAGAGAGAAAGGTAGGGTTTCCCACAAAGGGAAGCTCATCAGACTAACAGCGGATCTCTCTGCAGAAACCCTACAAGCCAGAAGAGAGTGGGGGCCAATACTCAACATCCTTAGAGAAAAGAATTCTTTTTTTTTTTTTTTTTCTGAGACGGAGTCTCACTCTGTCACCCAGGCTGCAGTGCAGTAGTGCAATCTTGGCTCACTGCAACCTCTGCCTCCTGGGTTCAAGAGATTGTCTGCCTCAGAATCCCAAGTAGCTAGGAGTACAGGTGTCTGCCCCCATGCTTGGCTAATTTTTTTGTATTTCTGGTAGAGTTGGGGTTTTGCCATGTTGGCCAGGCTGATCTCGAACTCCTGACCTCAGGTGATCCACCCGCCTTGGCCTCCCATAGTGCTGGAATTACAGGCAAGAAAAGAATTTTCAACCCAGAATTTCATATCCAGCCAAACTAAGCTTCGTAAGTGAAGGAGAAATAGAATGCTTTACAGACAAGCAAATGCTGAGAGGTTTTGTCACCACTACAGGGCACTAAACACGCAAAGGAACAACTGATACCAGCCACTGCAAAAACATGCTAAATTGAAAAGACCATCAACACTATGAAGAAACTGCATCAACTAATGGTCAAACTAACCAGCTAGCATCATAAAGCATCAAATTCACATGTGACAATACTAACCTTAAATGTAAATGGGCTAAATGCCCCAATGACAAGACACAGACTGGCAAATTGGATAAAGAGTCAAGATCCATCAATGTGCTGTATTCAGGAGATCCATCTCTCATGCAAAGACACACACAGGCTCAAAATAAAGGGAAGAAGGAATATTTACCAAGCAAATAGAAAGCAAAAAAAAAAAAAAAAAAAAAAGCAGGAGTTGCAATCCTAATCTCTGATAAAACAGACTTTAAACCAACAAAGATCATAAGAGACAAAGAAAGGCATTACATAATGGTAAAGGGATCGATGCAACAAAAAGAGCTAACTATCCTAAATATAGACGCATCCAACACAGGAGCACCCAGATTCATAAAGCAAGTTCTTAGAGACCTACAAAGAGACTTAGACTCCCACACAATAATAGTGGGAGAAAGAGACATGAAAAAACCCTTCAAAAAAAAAATCAATGAATCCAGGAGCTGGTTTTTTGAAAAGATCAACAAAATAGATAGACCTCTAGCCAGACTAATAAAGAAGAGAGAAAAATCAAATAGACACAATAAAAAATGATAAAGGGGATATCACCGTCAATCCCACAGAAATACAAACTACCATCAGAGAATACTATAAACATCTCTATGCAAATAAACTAGAAAATCTAGAAGAAATGGATAAATTCCTGGACACATACAACCTCCCAAGACTAAACCAAGGAGAAGTTGAATCCCTGAATAGACCAACAACAAGTTCTGAAATTCAGGCAGCAATTAACAGCCTACCAACCACAAAAAGTCCAGGACCAGATGGATTCACAGCTGAATTCTACCAGAGGTACAAAGAGGAGCTGGTCCCATTCCTTCTGAAACTATTCCAAACAATAGAAAAAGAGGGAATCCTCCCTAACTCATTTTATGAGGACTGCATTATCCTGATAAGAATATGTTCCATCCTGATCAATGTACCATGCTTACTTGAAAATAACGTCTCTTCTGCCACTTTTGAGTGTAGTGTTCTATAAATACTAGGTATATCAAGGTGGTTGACAATGTTATTCTATGCCTTAGCTAGTTTTTTGTGTAGCTCCTCTACCAAGTGCTGAGAATTTTTAAATCTCCAAATATGGTTGTGAAATTGCCCATTTTTATCCCTTTAATTCTGTTACATGTGTTGATGACTGCTATATCATCCTGTTCAACAGAAACTTTTCTCATTATAAAGTATCCTAGTAATCTATGGTAATACATTTAATTTGAAATGATATAATACGGCAATCCATTCTTCTTATGCTTACTGTTTCCATGATCAATCTTTTTCAATCTATTTATTTTCAACCTGTATCTTTATCTTTTTCTCCTTTCCTGCCTGTTTTTTAAATTATTTTGCACTTTTTCAGAATTCCATTTTAATTTTCCTGTTGGCTTTTCAGTCGTCTTTTTTTGCAATTATTTTTATATATATCCTTAGCTTTACATGGTCCACTTATGTAATATATGCCAGAATAATTTCTAATTCCATTTCTCCTCCAATTAGCCTGGTAGCCATCATACTCTCACTGTCTTTTTAGTAATTGTAACTTAAATTATAATATTTAACTTTGACTTTGCAAAGTCTAAAATGTCCATACTTTTAACTCTTACCAGAAAATACAGCAACCTCACAAAAAATTAACTCCATTTTTGTCAGGATCTCAATTTATATTACTTCAGATATTTTTCACTTATATAATTAAAACACAACATAAATTATTTAAAAATCAATGCTTACTTTTATTTATTGGTTTATTTAAGCATTTTGTTTTTCATTCCATTCTGTACTTATCCTCCTGAGATTATTCTTATTGTGTCCAAAGAATACTAGGTTAGTTATTATAGGTGTGCTAGTGACAAATCTTATCAAATTATTGGAGGGTGAAGGGAGTAGAGACAGGATCTCACTATGTTGCCCAGGCTGGTCTTGAGCTCCTGGGCTCAAGTGATCCTCCTGCCTCAGCCTTCCAAGGTGCTGGGATTATAGGCATAAGACACAATGCCCAGCCTCTTTCAATTTTTTACTGAAAATATTTTCATTTTACTTTTATTCATGGAAAATAGTTGTTTCTTAGCACTCATTTTCTTTCAGAACTTTGGGGATATCATTTCATCATCTTTGGAAATATTCCATTATTTGGGAACATTATTCAATTATATTTCATTATTATTCCATCCCACATATTGACATTATCTTTTGGTCTACATGCTGCTGCTCTGAAAGCAAACATTTTTTTCTCTGTCTACATTGGGGATTTTCCCACTATCTTTGTTTTTTAATAGTCTAATGAGATTAGGGATTTTCTTCATATTTTTCCTACTTGAGATTTATAGGACTTTTGAAACTATGGTTTGGTATCTTTAACTATTTTTTAAAAAATTTCAATCATTATATTTTCAAATACTTTTTGCTCTATTCTCTCCTCTCCTTCTAAGGCTCCAGTTATATATATGTAAGACATGCTCACCGCATTGTTTTTATCTTACATTCTATTCTTAATTATTTTTATTTTCTATCCTCTTATCTTTGCATGTTTCACTATAAACGTTCTGTTCTGACGTATTTTTGAGTTCGCTAATTTTCTCTAATGTGAGGTCTAGTTTGCTATTAAAGCCATCTGCTAGAACTCATAATTCCAAATGTTTTGTTTTCAATTTTAGAATTTCTATGGGGCTCTTTCTTTTTAATTTTACCTTGATTACAAATGAAAGCTATTATCCATTTGTTTCTTTTTTATACTTTCCCTCTGTAGAATCAAACAATTTTAACATACTTGAACATACTAATTAATGTATAGTTCTTTTATCTAGAGTTCCTATGAATATGATTCTATTGTCTGTTTTTTTTTCCTCTATTATTTTGGCCACATAGTGTTGAATTTTTGTGTACTCATTTTTTAACAAGTCCTGGACACAACACATGAAAACTGAGGTAATGTGAGGTCTAGGAAGATATAATCTTCTGTTAGAGTGAGTTTACATTTGCTTTTAGCAAGCTCCTAGAAAACTAGCAAAGTTGAATCACCTTCACTCAATTTCAGGACTGAAATAATTTATAGTTATATGTCAATCCTCTCAAAGCAAATCTATTTCCAGTTTACTCTTTCTTACAGGGTACAGTCCTTTAAGCTACCAATACCAAAATGTAGTGGTTTACCATGTCTCCTCTTTGGCAGATCCTAGATTCCAAAATATCACTCCCAGCTCTGGGAGCTACTCAAAATCTCTCCATCTCCAATACCACTTCAAGAACTAGCAGGTAACCCAAAAGGAAAAGTAGGTTCACTGTCTGGGTTTCTTTCTTCAATACAGTTTTGGCCCAATAAATCTTAGCCTTATCAGCTCTCTGGTGTCTTTTTAAAAAACAAAAACAAACAAAAGTCTTTTCCAGCTTCACTAGTGGTAGTTAGCTGGACTACTGACCCAAATTACATAATTCACCATAATTCATGATACTTAAACTATAACCCTACACCATTTGGTGAGGGTGTGGCGGGGGGGTGTGGGGGGGTAATTCCTGCAAAAAAGTATCAGGCCAAAGTACCTGACTAATTGAAAGAGGGCATCCAATCTTTTTATTCCTAAATAATGTTTAAAAATGTAATTAATTTGAAAAACAGAATGGAGACCCCTATGAAACAAGTACATTAATCTTTTAAAAGTACATATACTACTTCATACAAAAATCAATTTTCACCAACTGATTAGTTACTTACTAATAAATATTTAATTAAATGTCTAATACATGTGTGCTACTAAAGTTTAAAAAAGGAATGGCTTAGGAAGAACTTACAGTCTGATGGGGGAGCCTTGGTATTGTGGGGAAGTATAATAAAATGTTATGGGTAAAATGATACAAGTATACGCTAAGTACAGTGGTGTTCTAACAATAATAAAAGTTTGTGATGGGGACCCAAAAAGAAAGGTAATTCTTGAATGTAGATGTGAAAAATGAATTGGTACTTACCAGGATGAGCAAGAGACAAGCAAAGGATACGAGGTGTTCCTAGCAGTAGGGACAAAAGGGCAAGAAGGAAAGAGCTACAGGTAATGTAAGAGCACAGTATAGCATTAGTACTTGGGAAACAACAAGGAGTTCAATGTATCTGGAACATGTTGGGGGCGAGGCATACGTGTGCGCATGCACATGTGTCTCTGTATGTGAGTGTGAGTGTCGTGGCCATGGTTGTGACAGTGAAAGTAGTTAGCTGTTAAGAAAGAAAAATGACCTTTGTCTATATTGTGGATGGTCATGTGCAGCATAATAAAGTACATATACAAATCATATTTAACAGTAAATTAGTGGTGTATCCAATAAATTAAGAAAAAAGGTATATGTGCTATGATCAAAATTATTAAACATTGCTTTAAAACACACAGAAATAATACATAAAACTATCAGAAATGAAGAGATAAAATTGTTATTGTCTGCAGATACTAGGTCTACAAAGAATAAATGTTTTGGGTTACTTAACCCCAAAGGTGATGGTATTAGGAAGTGGGCCTTCATGAGGTCATGATAGAACTCATAGATTAAATTAGTGCATTTATAGAAAAGTCCTCAGAGAGTTCCTTTGGCACTTTTACTAGGTGACAATACAGGGGAAAGACACCTTCTATGAACCGTGAAGAGGGCCCTCTCTAGACACTGAATTTGCCAGCACCTTGAACTTAAACACCTGGCCTCCAGAACTGTAAGAAATAAATTTCTATTGTTTATAAGCTACTCAGTTTATGATAGTTTGTTGTAGCAGCCCAAAGGGACTAAGGCAAATCCCATTTACAAAAGCATAAAAAAGAATAAAGTACTTTAGGAATAAACTTAACCAAGAAGGTGAAAGATTTGTACACTGAAAACTACAAAACATTGCTGAAAGAAATGAAAGGAGACACAAATAAATGGAAAGACATCCCATGTTCATGCACTGAAAGGTTTAATATTGTTAAGATGTCAACACCACAAAGTAAGCTACAGATTCAATGCAATCCTTTTCAAAATCCTACAGCATTTTTGCGGAAACAGAAAAAAAAAATCCTAAAATTCGTATGGAAACCATAAAGAATCCCAAACAGCTGAAACAATCTTGAGAAAGCAAAAAGCTGAGGGCTTCATACCTCCTGACTTCAAAATGCATTCTAAAGCTTCAGTAATTAAAACAGATTGGTACTGGCATAAAGACATATAGACTAATGGAACAGAACAGAGAGCCCAGGTAATAAAACCATATATATATACAGTCAAATGATCTTTGACAAGGGCGTCACAACTAACACAATGTGGAAATATAATGCTGCTGAGAAAACTGGGTATCAACATGCAAAAGAACAAAAGTGGAGCCTTATTTTACACCACACACAAAACCAACTCAAAATGGATCAAAGAATAAATATAAGACATGAAACTACAAACTCCTAGGAAAAAACCACAGGAGAAAAGCTTCATAATTTGGTCTTTAGAAATGATTTCTTGATGCTGACAAAAGCAGTAATAGATGAGTAGAAGTATATCAAAATAAAAAGCTTCTGCACAGCAAACAACAGAACAAAACAGAAAACTACAGAATGAGAGAATATATTTCCAAACCATATGTCTGATAAGGGCTTAATATTCAAAATGTATAGGGAACTCCTATAACTCAGTAGCGAAAACAAAAAACAGAAACACAAGTAAAAACTTGGCAAAAGACTTGAATAGACATTTCTTCAAAGTAGACATACAAATGATACACAGGTATTTGAAAAATGCTTAGCATTACAAATTATCAGGGAAGTACAAATCAAAACCACGATGAAATATCACCTTACACCTGCTAGTATGGCTGTTGTTTTTAAAAAAACAACAACATAAAAAATAAATAAGTAAGTGTCAGCAAGGATGTGGAGAAATTAAAACCTTGTACACTATTGTTGGGAATGTAAAATAACGTAGCTGCTACAGAAAACAGTATGAAGATTCTTCAAAAACTTAAAAGTAGAACTACCAAATGAACCAGCAATCACATTTCTGGATATTTATTCAAACAAAGTGAAATGAGGAACTTAAACAAATATCTGCCCTCTCATGCTCATTGTTGCACTATTCGCAATAGCCAAGAGGTGGAAACAATCTAAATATCCATCAGCAGATGAATGAATAAAGAAAATGTATTGGCCGGCAGTGTGGCTCATGCCTGTAATTCCAGCCGAGGGAGGAGTATTGCTTGAGGCCAGGAGTTCCAGACAAGCCCTGGCAACACAGAGAAACCTTGTCTCTACAAAAAAAAAAAAAAAAAAAAATTAACTTAGTTGCGTGTGTGGCTGTAGTCCCAGCTACTGGGGAGGCTAAGCTGGGAGGATCCCTTGGGCCTGAGTTCCAGGCTGCAGTAAGCCATGATCACACCACTGCACTACAGCCTGGCTGACAGAGCAAGACCTTGTCTCAAAAAAAAAAGAAAGAAGGCAATTGTGTTATATACATACAATGGAATATTATTCAGCCTTAAAAAAGAAGAAAATCCTCTAATATGCTGTAACATGGATTAACTTTGAAGACATTATACTAAGGGAAGTAAGACAGTAACAGGACAAACACTGTATGATTCCACTTATGTGATGTGTCTAAAGTAGTCGAATTCACAGAAGCAGAAAGTAGAACGGTGGTTTCCAGGGGCTGGGGGTATGGGAATGGAGAGCTACTGTTCAATGGGAACAGAGGTTCAGTCATGCCAGATGAAAACGTTCTAGAGATCTGCTGTACAATAATATGCACATAGTTAACAATACTCTATTATACCCTTAAAAATGAAAGAGGATTTCACATTATGTAATTTTTACCATAATTTTTTAAAAGAATGCACTAATGTAGCTAAGAACATTTTTGTTAAAAAAAATAAGGGATATGTTGCTATATTAACAGTTAAAAATTTTATAGTTTCTCTAATTAAGGCCATGTGGTGTTAATGCTAGAGTACAGAAAGGTCAAAGGGGAAAAAAAGACTAAATCCTAAAAGCGCAAATATGTATATGTGTTATCCACAATCAGTGAGAAAAAAATGGATTATCTAATAAATGGAGATGAGATGATGGGCTCGCCATTGAGAAAAAAATAGAGTCCACCCTTATATCATGTACTGAAATAAATATAAGACAGGTGAGAGATATACAGATTTAGTTTATGACAGGTAAAAATTTTAGACTGGGCAGAATATTAAAAATAGAGAGTTTTTCTAACTCACACTAACCCTCTCTAAGTCTTCAATGATATTACACTAAAGTCATATAGATTCAGTTTGCCACTATTTTATTGAGGATTTTTGTATCAATGTTCATCAAGGATATTGGTCTAAAATTCTCTTTTTTGGTTGTGTCTCTGCCAGGCTTTGGTATCAGGATGATGCTGGCCTCATAAAATGAGTTAGGGAGGATTCCCTCTTTTTCTATTGATTGGAATAGTTTCAGAAGGAATGGTACCAGTTCCTCCTTGTACCTCTGGTAGAATTCGGCTGTGAATCCATCTGGTCCTGGACTCTTTTTCGTTGGTAAGCTATTGATTATTGCCACAATTTCAGCTCCTGTTATTGGTCTATTCAGAGATTCAACTTCTTCCTGGTTTAGTCTTGGGAGAGTGTATGTGTCGAGGAATTTATCCATTTCTTCTAGATTTTCTAGTTTATTTGCGTAGAGGTGTTTGTAGTATTCTCTGAGGGTAGTTTGTATTTCTGTGGGATCTGTGGTGATATCGAATCCAGCAGCACATCAAAAAGCTTATCCACCATGATCAAGTGGGCTTCATCCCTGGGATGCAAGGCTGGTTCAATATACGCAAATCAATAAACGTAATCCAGCATATAAACAGAACCAAAGAAAAAAACCACATGATTATCTCAATAGATGCAGAAAAGGCCTTTGACAAAATTCAACAACCCTTCATGCTAACAACTCTCAATAAATTAGGTATTGATGGGATGTATCTCAAAATAATAAGAGCTATCTATAACAAACCCACAGCCAATATCATACTGAATGGGCAAAAACTGGAAGCATTCTCTTTGAAAACTGGCACAAGACAGGGATGCCCTCTCTCACCACTCCTGTTCAACATAGTGTTGGAAGTTGTGGCCAGGGCAATTAGGCAGAAGAAGGAAATAAAGGGTATTCAATCAGGAAAAGAGGAAGTCAAATTGTCCCTGTTTGCAGATGACATGATTGTATATCTAGAAAACCCCACTGTCTCAGCCCAAAATCTCCTTAAGCTGATAAGCAACTTCAGCAAAGTCTCAGGATACAAAATCAATGTACAGAAATCACAAGCATTCTTATACACCAACAACAGACAGAGAGCCAAATCATGAGTGAACTCCCATTCACAACTGCTTCAAAGAGAATAAAATACCTAGGAATCCAACTTACAAGGGATGTGAAGGACCTCTTCAAGGAGAACTACAAAACACTGCTCAAAGAAATAAAAGAGGATACAAACAAATGGAAGAACATTCCATGCTCATGGGTAGGAAGAATCAATATCGTGAAAACGGCCATACTGCCCAAGGTAATTTACAGATTCAATGCCATCCCCATCAAGCTACCAATGACTTTCTTCACAGAATTGGAAAAAACTACTTTAAAGTACATATGGAACCAAAAAAGAGCCTGCATTGCCAAGTCAATCCTAAGCCAAAAGAACAAAGCTGGAGGCATCATGCTACCTGACTTCAAACTACACTACAAGGCTACAGTAACCAAAACAGCATGGTACTGGTACCAAAACAGAGATATAGATCAATGGAACAGAACAGGGCCCTCAGAAATGACGCATATCTACAACTATCTGATCTTTGACAAACCTGAGAAAAACAAGCAATGGGGAAAGGATTCCCTATTTAATAAATGGTGCTGGGAAAACTGGCTAGCCATATGTAGAAAGCTGAAACTGGATCCCTTCCTTACACCTTATACAAAAATCAATTCAAGATGGATTAAAGACTTAAACGTTAGACCTAAAACCATAAAAACCCTAGAAGAAAACCTAGGCATTACCATTCAGGACATAGGCAAGGGCAAGGACTTCATGTCTAAAACACAAAAAGCAATGGCAACAAAAGCCAAAATTGACAAATGGGATCTAATTAAACTAAAGAGCTTCTGCACAGCAAAAGAAACTACCATCAGAGTGAACAGGCAACCTACAAAATGGGAGAAAATTTTCACAACCTACTCATCTGACAAAGAGCTAATATCCAGAATCTACAATGAACTCAAACAAATTTACAAGAAAAAAACAAACAACCCCATCAAAAAGTGGGCGAAGGACATGAACAGACACTTCTCAAAAGAAGACATTTATGCAGCCAAAAAACACATGAAAAAATGCTCACCATCACTGGCCATCAGAGAAATGCAAATCAAAACCACAATGAGATACCATCTCACACCAGTTAGAATGGCAATCATTAAAAAGTCAGGAAACAACAGGTGCTGGAGAGGATGTGGAGAAATAGGAACACTTTTACACTGTTGGTGGGACTGTAAACTAGTTCAACCATTGTGGAAGTCAGTGTGGCCATTCCTCAGGGACCTAGAACTAGAAATACCATTTGACCCAGCCATCCCATAACTGGGTATATACCCAAAGGACTATAAATCATGCTGCTATAAAGACACATGCACATGTATGTTTATTGTGGCACTATTCACAATAGCAAAGACTTGGAACCAACCCAAATGTCCAACAATGATAGACTGGATGAAGAAAATGTGGCATAAATACACCATGGAATACTATGCAGCCATAAAAAATGATGAGTTCATGTCCTTTGTAGGGACATGGATGAAATTGGAAATCATCATTCTCAGTAAACTATCGCAAGGACAAAAAACCAAACACCACATATTCTCACTCATAGGTGGGAACTGAACAATGAGAACACATGGACACAGGAAGGGGAACATCACACTCTGGGGACTGTTGTGGGGTGGGGGGAGGGGGGAGGGATAGCATTGGGAGATATATCTAATGCTAGATGACGAGTTAGTGGGTGCAGCGCACCAGCATGGCACATGTATACATATGTAACTAACCTGCACATTGTGCACATGTACCCTGAAACTTAAAGTATAATAATAATAAATAAAATAAAATAAAAATTTAGAAAAAAAAATCAAGTCATATAGAATGTCCAAACACCAGATTCTAGAGGTATATAGAAATGCACATACCAATGGCAAATATGAGTATGCTGTTTTTCATTTGTATTAATACTGTTTTTTCTTATAGTTATAAATGCAAATGAAAACTGATTGTTCAGAAGAGTAGTATATTATTACAGGAACAGCAGAGGATTTTAGAGTCTTAAGATCTGACAGAAATCCAGCTTTGTAAACACAAATGGCAAAATGAATTGTGCTTCAACAGATGTTAAAAATCCACTAAGAATAACATTTTCAAAGAATATATATTGACATGGGAAAAGTACCATTCATCCAGCCAGTCAATAAATACTGTGTTGGGCCATGGACTATGTGCAAAAGATGTTTTAAATGAGCAAGGAAGCCATCATCTTTGCTGTCAAGAATCTTCAAGTTTAGTGAGAATGGCAAACAAGGATTACAGTTATAATATGATTGATAGAAAAGGTACAAAGAAAAATATCTAAGTACCTAGCAGGGGAACCTGCCTAGTCTATTAGAGTCAGAGGTTTTGTAGGAAAAATAACATTTTAAGCTCAGATCTGAAAAGATACATAGGAATTAGCCCAACTTAGTGATTATGGATTATGGGTGGACATATCAACAAATTGAAAGCTCAGTATTAATTATCAAGGGAGAAAAGGCCCAGGATCAATGGTGGGGAGGGGAGGGTGTGCGGGGAGGGAGGCAGTGCAGGGAGGGGAGGGTGTGCAGGCAGGGTAAGAGTTCGGGGACCCATACCCAGAACTGTATCTATATGAAAGGCCTAATTACGTCTGCACATAGTAAGATTGGAAGTGCACAAAAGAAAATATTATCAGTGCTTAACTCTTTTCTATATTTCTTAATCAATCATACATTACCATTTACTCTACTGATCAAAAGTGTTATTAAAATAATACTTTACCATTTTGCTTTTATTAAAATTTTAGACAAGACTGTTAAAACTTTGTGTATTCATTTGGAAAATAAGGCTAATAAGATTTAACTTCACAAAGTTGCTGATTAGGATCAAATATAATAACATGTGCAGGATGGTGGTTTTGTGACTGTGGTCACTGGACCTAACTCAGTATCAGAGTGAGCAGATATAGAATTGGGAAGTGGTTGTAAAAACTGATAGATCAGGAGGATAAAAATGTGGACCTGATGAAGTTGATGAGTTGGTTACTACAGTGTTGTCACTACCCACTTTAGTAATAATGACAGTCAATGCTAATTAATCCTCTCTCCCGCTCCTTAGACCCAATCTCAGAATCCTTAGCAACTTAGTGCTCCAGACAGCCACTTACAACTAATTTAGAATGGCATGTTACTTGAAATCTTTTACTATCACTAGCCTTGGAATTTCAAGTATGAATACAATCAATTATACAATTTTTTAAAAAAGGTAGTTTGGCTATAAAAATGTCTTTTTTTTTTTTTTTTTTTTTTTTTTTTTGAGACAGAGTCTCGCTCTGTCGCCCAGGCTGGAGTGCAGTGGCGCAATCTCGGCTCACTGCAAGCTCCACCTCCTGGGTTCATGCCATTCTCCTGCCTCAGCCTCCTGAGTAGCTGGGACTACAGGCGCCCGCCACCACGCCTGGCTGATTTTTTGTGTGTGTGTTTTTTTAGTAGCGACAGGGTTTCACCTTGTCAGCCAGGATAGTCTCGATCTCCTGACCTTGTGATCCACCTGCCTCAGCCTCCCAGAGTGCTGGGATTACAGGCGTGAGCCACCGCGCCAGGCCAAAAATGTCTTTTTAAATTTATATTTTAACCTTTAAATGTTCTGTTTCTCTGAAAGTATATCTTCTAGCATGCCCAGAGGTTCTGATATATTAAATATTATTTTGTAAGCCACTGTTATTCATGTATTATGCCAGAAGCAAGAATTTAGAGACTATAGCATTTAAAAAAATATATTTATATATATTTACAAATAATAAAGTCAGATACAAATACATCTTTAGATTGAGTGTTGCTTTTTCACAAAATGAAAACAAGTGAATTTCTTACCTTTCCTCTGGAGTATCTACATGAAATGTTCTCTCTATAACAGTAGTCCACTGGAGACATCTGATTATAAATGTGTTTGGCTTTGGTCGTTCTGTTTTCATTAACTGGCATTCTAAGAATAAAATAAAATGTTTCTTTAAATATGGATATATTTAAAACAAGAAGTAAATAATTGAGAACTACAGAGTTCTATTTTAAACAAAACCCAGTGCGAACTCACAGCTTTCTATGGTTCTCCACTCAAGATTATTTACAGCCTGACCTTAGTCTTCCTTTCCAATCCTTCACCCATTCTGGCCACATTAACCACCTCAACTGGACTATATAATTTTCCCCAAACACACATCTTAACTCTTTCATTTATTTATGCCTTTGCTCCAGCTGTTCTTGCTATCTGAAATACTTTCCTCACTTATTTTACCTCTATCCATATGCATCACCTGCAGTCACAATAGTACTGATCCTTGAAGGTCCAGATCAAATATTATTCCTTCCATGAAACCTTCCATAACACCTCGCCCTAGACTGACCATTTCATCCTCTCTATTCTCTTTACTTATTACCATATCCCTCATGTGTCACTTACCATAGACTATCTTACAGTATTACTTATCATTTTAAGAAAATGACAAATATCACTTATCCTTACCTAGATTATAAGCTTTTTGACAATATAAACTGCCTGTAACTCTTAGTATCCACTGCCCCAAGAGCCAGTCACTCTAAACATGATTAAATTCTGTTACTGAATAACTAGGAAGATGTCAACAAACATGAGCCTAAAGTATGGATTCTCTGACACTGGTGTGCGTAGATTCAATTATTTTTTCGTACCATTAACTACACAAACTTGGACAAATTAATTAAACTCGCTAGTCTTCAACAGTTAAGTGGGAAACAGTATCTACATCATAGAATTGATGTAGGAATTAATAATAAGTTCATCTAATATTAGCATAATATGAGACCTATAAGCTTTCAACAAACATTAACTATTATTTGGCATACATCTGAGCTGGGCTTTAAAGGATAAATGGTATTGGACACCAAGAAAAAATAGGGTAGGGTTGTCTGCTGACTCTGCTCTTTTGGAAGAAACTAATTTATCTCCGTTGAAAACTTCAAGTCTTTTCTCAGTGCTTATCTGCTGTGTCCTATCTCCATCATTAGCAACTATCAACTGCCATTTCTATCTCTTTATAGTTCCAATTCTTTACTCAGATTAGCTGTGTTTTTGTTTGTTTGTTTGTTTGAGACAGTCTCGCTCTGTCACCCAGGCTGGAGTGCAGTGGCGCGATCTCGGCTCACCGTAACCTCTGCCTGCTGGGTTCAAGTGATTGTCATGCCTCAGCCACCCAAGTTGCTGTGATTACAGGCGTGCACCACCATGCCCAGCTTATTTTTCTAATTTTAGTAGAGATGGGGTTTCACCATGTTGGCCAAGCTGATCTCGAACTCCTGACCTCAAGTGATCCGCCCGCCTCGGCCTCCCAAAGTGCTGGGATTACGGGCTTGATCCACCGTATCCAGCCCCAGATTAGCTCTTTATTGGCCCTTTACACTGAGAGAAATCATTCACCCAAGGGTCTCTGCTTAGTTTTCTAACAGTTTACATGTTTTCAGCAATCATCTCTCAGTTTACCAATATCAAAATCCAAACTTTTTTCACCTTGCAGTTCTACTTTAAGACACACGTGTCTAAACACATAGTGAATATTTCTACCTGGTTGAATTACTGGACCACCCCTAAAACCAAACTCAGTATTTTCCCCCTAAAATTCATTCCTCCTCCTGGCTTTCATAATTTTCCATCACCCAGGCTGAAACATAAACTGATCTTCCTTTTTGATACTGGTACTATTTGTCATTACAGGTGCTCCTCGACTTATGACTGTGTTACATTCCAATACAACCATCGTAAGTCAGAAATATTATAAGGCAAAAATGCATTTAATACACCTAGACTACCCAACATCATAGATTAGCCTAACCTACTTGAAACATGCTCAGAACACTTCCATTAGCCTAGAGTTGGACAAAAATCATCCAACACAAAGCCTGTTTTGTAGTAAAGTATTGAATATTACACATAGATGGGTGTTTTGTCGACATGATGAGATGAGAAAACACAAAAACTAAGAGCATCCAGAAAAATGCTGGCAACACAGTACACTGTAGAGTATCTACTGTGCATGTTGTGATCACGTGGCTGACTGCAAGCTGTGATTTGCTGCTGCTGCCCAGCATCACTAGGGAGTATCACACAGCAAATCACTACCCCAGGAAAAGACAAAAATCCAAAATTTGAAATACAATCTCCATTGAGTGTGTACTGCTGTCAGGAGCACGGTAAAGTAAGACATCGTTACCATGAACTACTGTAAGTGGGAGACCATTCGTAACTGGTTTTCCACTGCTATAATTCTACTTCAGATTCTGTGTGCCCAATGCCTAAACCTCCCGGCTGCCCTAAGACAAGATTCTTCCTATTTAGAGATGCTGAGTGACTATGTAAGTTAAAGACAGAAACTGTGCTCTGGGAGACATCTGAACATGTCCGAACGTGAACTCTTGACCTCTCTCAACCCTGCTCCTTCTTCTGCCAACCTCTACTGTGGCTTCCTCTATCTCACATGACACCTCCATCCTTTCAATTGCCCAAGCTGAAAACCCAAGAATTCCCTTGGAGTCCTCTCTTCCCTGACATCACATTCACTCCTCCTGCAAATCTTGGTGTTTCTACTTTAAAAACATAACCAGCTTCTGATAACTTCTCACCACCTCCACTACCTCAGACTAAGCCATCATTGTCTCTCACCTGATGATTCCAAAAAACTTAGAATAGCTTTTCCCTGCCCCTCACTGCAGTCTGTTCTCAACACAGCAGCCAGAAATCTTCTTAAAATGAAGATCTGCAAAAAAGTTCTGCAGTGTTTCAGTTCACTAAGAATAGATGAGTAAGGCCTTTAAGTGATCAGCAGGTGTCCTACGTGATCTGACCCTCCCACTGACCCCACTGAAGTTTCTGACCTACTTCCTTAGTACTCTCTTTCAGGCTGCTCTGCCAGCCACCCTGGCTTCCCTGCATTTCCTCAACAATGCACTACACTCTTTCTGCTTTAGAGCTTTTTGCCCTCTGCCTAACATTCTTTCCCCCCTCACACACCCGCACAGCTGCTCTCTTAGACATCCTATTTAATACTGCAATCTGCACCCCTTACCTAGGACTCTCCCTCCATCTTCTCTTACCTGCTCTATTTTTTATTTTCCATAGCATGTTACCATTTTCTAACATTTGATATGAAGTTTTTTAGTATCTTTTTTGCTTATTGTCTTTTCAACTAGATTGTAAGCTCCATTCATATATTCTTAGCACTTAGAACTATGCCAGACACATAGTAGGTACTCAATAAACATTTTCCAAATGAATTCTGATAGTAATAATCCAACAAAGAAGGTAATTTTGATGCTACCAAAAGATAATTTCTAAAGCAATGTACCTATATAAGCAAGAAGGGATTAAATTTACTGGACAAGTAAAGGGGTAGCTCTAATCAGGAGTATAAATAGTTTAGTAATAAAATAAAAGAGAAGATATAAGGGCCCAAATGCAATTAGGAGTACAGAAGCAAGTAAAAGCTGGTAGAAATTATTTTCTCACTGCTTCTGTTTTTTTCAGTGAATTAGGATATAAAGTCATCGGGAATAACGTTGCAAAAGGATCCATCAGGCTTTGAAGAAAAAAAGATATGAAATAGCACTCTGGGAAAATCAAAGTACAAATAGGCTAAGGAGACCAACCATGACTGCCGAGAAGGATGAAGGACCAACCTGAATTTAATAATGAAGAATTTAAACTAATAACAGAGATCATGGTTGTGTATTTTCTCCCAGATATACCCAGATATATTCAGCTGCATGTGTACAGGTGAGGAACATAGAGTAATGAATTTAAGCAAGGCTGTACTTTAACCAAGTAAGTTTGTCAAAGCAAGAAGACAGAAAAGAATAAAGAATGCAAGGCAAGGGAGTGATTATGATACTCAACTAAGAAACTTAAAATGGGTATGGAGGAAAGTGAGAACCTGGGGATGTGCAAGACAATGAAAAGGTGGTAGAATCAATAGGTCATAAAATCTATTATATCACAATTCAACTTTGTATAGCAGCATGACATTTTTTGAAATATGAAAGTTAAAAAACACAAAATATATATTCCACAAAAAATAAGCAAAAATATTGTTCATTTGAAAGACTTAAGTTTTAAAATACCAAAGACATTATACTAATTTATACTAATAAAGAGCCAACCAATTCCTATGACTGACTCTGCCCATCAGTCTGATTCTCTTTGAAGCCAACTGTTCCTCCCCATATCCTTCTTTTCAAAAGCCCTATTAAATTTCCAGCCAGTAATTCACTAGCTATATTACTTAAAAGTTAGGAATTGTGTGCACAGTTCTTCTTATAGCACCTAGGACAGTGACAGGACATAGGAGTATACAATAAATACCCTGATTGGGCAACTGATTGGCTGGCTTTAAACGTAAAGAATGGAGGACAGACACTTAAATGAGGGGCGTGCCCAAGAGAAATACTATGGGGTACAGAGAAATACAGCACAGAAGCAAAGAAAGAATGCCCGGTCTGAGGTTCACTATTTCAGTTTTACTTCAGGTTCCCATTATGGTGATATAAGGTAATTAAGATAATGGACTCTGCAATCAGAAAGAAATTCAAATCCAGGCTCTAACACAATCAGCTGTGTGATCCTTTTGAAAGTACTTTATATCTAAGCCCTCAGGTTTATCATCTTTAAAAGCACTATCATGAATTAAAAGCATATTTTCAACACTATACCTAAATGAAGTTTAAATGCTATAATTTAAAGAACTTCTCAACACTAGACTTTTAGAAGCTACTCGAAGTGCTGTTATAAGATTCCAAATATCAATTACTATAATTTATAAGGCTGCTAAAAACAATAAAAGATATTACTATAATTACCATTCTCAAGCAGATCACTGAAAAGGAATGGCTTAGAAAAGAATAAAATACCTGTATTTATGTATAGAGTGGTTTGGAAAAATATTAAAATAGTAACATAATGACTAAGTAGTTATGCACAACTTCACTGTTCTTACTAAACTTGCTAAGTATTCATGAACCAAATGACATATATGAAATGTCAGTTATGGGCCAAGCACTATGCAAAATGCTGGGCACACAAAAATGAGTAGGAAACTCTATGAGCTCATGGTACACACCATACTACTGATCATTCTACCCATGTAATTATAAAGTAGTATTTCATTTATGCTATAAAGGGTTTAATCAGGTCCTGTGAACCCTCTAGTCCAACAAAAATAATGTTACGTGTAATTACAAATAAACAGTATAATAGAAATAAACCTATATTTTTTAGGTCTCAGTATGAAATACTCTACAAACACATTTCATCTCTACACCAAGATGTTCAAGTGGTAGTTGGATCACTACCAAGAGAATATCACAATGTCTTATGGTTTGTTGCTGTACAAAACAAATGTAATTTAAAAAGCTGAATCCAAATTCAAAAAAGTTAAAACTCTAAATTACCATGTTAAAACCAGTGATCGAGTAAATAGAAAAACTTTTGAGTTCTTGCATGTTCGCAATAAGGAATCAGAAACACATGATTCTTAAAGGAAATGGTGGTTAATAAATGGATTAGCCAATACTTCTTTAGAAGAATATTTGCCTTTTGGTTACGTAAAGATTCCCAACGCAAGGTAGGGCAATTTAAATTTTAAAAATCAGAAGTAGAAACTTTGGATAGAGATTCTAAAAAGCTATTAACCAAATGATTATCTACGATTTTTAGAATCATTTAATATGCATCAGTAAAGTAAATGTGCTTATACAAAATGCCAGGTAGCTAACTCTTATTATAACATCTACTTCTCAGTGTTATTTGTTACACTGTTACTTATATTAGATAGTTATACACTAGTTAAACTCTACTGAGCAACATGAACCACAAGCTGAATTTTAAATGTTCTGCTTACTTTACACCATTCTGAGCCACAGATGACAAAGTCTGTACAAAGCTGTAATTACTCTGCAAACCTGAAACCCAATTAGAGAGACTGCAACATGTCAGACCAAGAAATACATACACCAAAAAAAAAATTTTTAGAGATCATCTGTTTAGATTAAAATGTTTAAAGGTTTAATTTCAACCAACCTCTTTAGCCATTTAAACACTAATTTTATTCTTTCTAAAATAACATCCAATGTGAAAAACGAAGGCATAATAATAGATTCCTTTTTTTTTTTTTTTTTTGAGACGGAGTCTCGCTCTGTTGCCCAGGCTGGAGTGCAGTGGCGCAATCTCGGCTCATGCAAGCTCCACCTCCCGGGTTCATGCCATTCTCCTGCCTCAGCCTCCTGAGTAGCTGGGACTACAGGTGGCCACCACCACATCCAGCTAATTTTTTTGTATTTTTAGTAGAGACGGGGTTTCACTGTGTTAGCCAGGATGGTCTCTCGATTTCCTGACCTCATGATCCGCCCACCTCGGCCTCCCAAAGCGCTGGGATTACAGGCGTGAGCCACTGCATCCGGCCAGATTCCATTTTTTATTAAATCACATAATGAAATAATGCTGGCTGTGAGTTATGATGACCATAAACCAAATTTATTTTTCAGGTCTTAAAAATATGATACACCATGGAGGTTCTCTGAAGGGGACAAAAAGCATTTCTATCTTTTGTTTAATGTTTTCACTAGGGGCAAAAAAGCATAACACCTATTTAAGACTCAATACATCAACCTTTAAGAGATTCATTTAATCCAATGAGCGGAAGGTGACTTAGGTGAGGCAGGTGTCCTGGTAGAGAGCATTCCAGCAGCAGATAACTGTTGAGTGATCACTACGTTCCAAGCACTGCACAAAGAGTGGTGCATAAATGTTATTCATTTAATCCAAAGGAAAAACCTAAAAGGTGTTATTATCTTCCATTTTCTAAATGAGCAAATTTACAAGACTCAGGCAAGCTAAATAACTTGCCCCAAAACACACAACTGTGAGTCATTATATAAGGATTTATTCCAAGTCTATCTCAATCCCAATCCCATGCTCTTCTGAAGAGAATACACTGCTAGGAAAAATGCCTTAAAAATCAGTAATCATCTGTCAAAGCCATAGGAATGTCTGTTCCCTCTTCTATACCTTCTCTACACCTTCCCCGTGCTTGGCCCTTCTCCCATCTATGACACTTTTTCTCATATAAGCAAATCCAGGATAAGTTTCAACTGATAACAGTGTTTGAGCGGGAGAGGGCTCCAATGTGTTTGCCTCTGGTTCTCTCCACAGTATAGGGATGGACAGGAATGAGGGTTATCCCCTAGCAGGATGCTGATCCTTGACATCTCGTTTCTCCAGGTAGGAGTAACGGGAGGCGGTTTAGAATGAGAAGCTGAAGGGAAAGAAAGTGGTAAGGATAGCAGAAAGGAAGGCAAGAGAGCCTTTGGGTTCTTTCACTGCTGGCTCTCACATTCTCCAATACCAATGAAGTTAATGATTAAAAAAAGTTCAATTACTAATAATGGAAAAGTGATCTGCAGACTCACATCAATCCAGCTCCGCATTGCTAGTTATTTTTGTCTGAACCATTTGCGTTTTATCACCCAAACTCAACATATCTCTCTCCACATAAGCAAATAGGAGAGAAGACAAAGTTCTTACATTTGATTCCATAATACAAGGGGTTCAATAAATAATGGGAGTCAGACTGGATTACTAACATTACATTTCCCTCTAGAAGATGTTTTTCACTTCATCATCCACATTCCAAATTGTGACATTTTAATTATCATAAACCACCACTTTGGAATTAACATGAAATACTATTTATGAACTTGAGTTGAATTTGAAGTCACGATATGTTAATGTGAACTTCTCCTAACACATTTTTCTTCTTTGAATATGGTCACTACAGATACTACCATTTACCAAAAGCACACTTACAGAGCCAATATTTTCCCCATCAACATTTCTCTGTCTTGTTTGCCCACCGAATCCTGCCTCTAATTAAACAAACATACACCTCAAGAGTCTTCTGGAACAACTGTTCTTGGCATACTTTCTGCCTACTTGAAATTCCAAATAAACGTACTGTGGTCATTTTGAGACAATAGTTAAAATATAAAAATGACATAAGGCATTTACTAAAAGAATTATAAGAGGCATGCAAACATCTAGTGGACTCAAGGAATTAGGCATGTTGGTTTTTTGGCTTTGATTTTGGTTTTTGCAGTATAATAGCCATGGGCTTTTTAAAAATGTAGTAAAATATACATAACATGAAATGTACCATTTTAACCATTTTAAGTATACAGTTTGGTGACATTACTGAATTCAAATTGTTGTGTGGGCAAGATGGTTTTCAAACATATTTCTTGATTTACTTTCACTGTATAAATCATCCATGCTTAATACAGAAAAATACATACATAAGTATAGGCAAAATAAAAATACTCATAATCCTACCATTCAGTTATAACCATTATTAGTGTTTGAATACATACATTTTTAGACCTATTCTAAGCACTTTTTAGAAACAAAAATGAGACCATTATTGATGATATTATATGTTTTGGATATTTTCCATTTCAGTAAATAAAGATCTACATCATTATATTTAATAGTGGCATAAAACTCCATTGTACTCATACACCAGAATAAGCAGTTTATTTATAGTCATAATGCATGAAACAGAAGTAAATTACTCAGATGTACACAGGATATTTAACCATTCATTACATAACATGGTAAAATCTGAAAAATAATTATGAGATTTTTTTTTTTTTTTTTTTTTTAGACAGAGTCTTGCTCTTTCACCAGGCTGGAGTGCAGTGGCGCGATCTCGGCTCACTGCAACCTCCGCCTCCCGGGTTTCAAGCAATTCTCCTGCCTCAGCCTCCGGAGTAGCGAGGACTACAGGCGTGCGCCACTAGGCCCAGCTAAGTTTTGTATTTTTAGTAGGGATGGGGTTTCATCATGTTGGTCAGGATGGTCTCGGTCTCTTGACCTCGTGATCCACCCACCTCAGCCTACCAAAGTGCTGGGATTACAGGCGTGAGCCACTGTGCCCGGTCTATTTTTAAGAAAAGCTATTTATATTTGAAACATGATGAAACTGGGATTTGATAACAAAATTTTTAAACAATTCAACAAGAATGTACATTAGATTGAAAATTCCCTTAGGGGAAGGTCCATACTATTTGATTTCTGGTACTATGCCTAAACAGGGCTGGTCTCAAATAAATAAACAGAATGACTAACATACTGCCCCAATTTATCTGTGCCTTGGCTAATTGAAATCATGTTAAAAAATACCTAAAAGATAATCTACCCCTAATAAAATAATTAATTCAGGCAAAAATCACCAATGGTAAAATCATTTGGTAAATAACTAATTAAGACTAAATATTGCATAGTGCCAACATGTCAAACCACAGATTATCTGGTAACCACATGAGAGAAACTTAGTTTATAATGAAGAGATGACACTGTCACCACCGTAACCCAGTGAACAATGATAGCATTACTAAGAGCTGGTCAACCAAATACTAGGTACCTCTTGACATAACGCAATATGAAGTACACAGACTCACGAAGGAAACAATCTTGATAAAAATTCTGAATATGAATCTGATGGAATCCTTAGATCTAACTTCCTTTTACAGTAAATACAGAGGTAGAGGAAAAGTTAAATGACACCTCGTAGAAACGATCAGAGAATTCCATAAGACAGAACTTTCACAGGACAAATGAAGTAGTCTCTTTAATAAGTGAATGTACCCAAAAGAGGGGTGAGGAAGGTAGTCTAATACTCTGCTGGACTAGTAGGGACTTAAAAGATTTATAAAAACCAAATGCAATGCGTGGTCCTCCTTAATGCATTCTGGTCTAAACAAACCAGTTTTAGGCAACAAGTGGGAAATCTGAATATGAATTTGTACTTGGTAATACTAAAGATTAGTTTTATTAGATGTGATTGTGATACAGCTTTTAAAAAAATTTTCAATTCATGAAGTAGATGTGCAGGTTTGTTACATGGGTGTATTGTATAAAGCTGAGATATGGGCTTCTAGTGAACTCATCACCCAAATAATGAACATAGTACTCAATAGGTAGTTTTCTGGTCCTTGTCCCACCCTTCTCCTTTTTGGAGTCCGCAGTGTCTATTATTTCCATCTTTATGTCCATATGTACCAATTGCATAGGTCCCACTTAGAAGTAACTTACAACTTAAATGCCTCGAGATTTCCATCTGTACCAATGAGACAATTTCTACTCACGTATCTTCAAAGTAGCTTATCAGTGCATACATACCACAGTGAAATAAACAATAAACATATACAAAGACCAAGATGCAGATTCAAAGTCACTTTTTTTTTGAGATGGAGCCTTGCTTTGTCATCCATGATGGAGTGCAGTGGCACAATCTCGGCTCACTGCAACCTCTGCCTCCTGGGCTCACGCCATTCTCCTGCCTCAGCCTCCTGAGTAACTGGGATTACAGGCGCATACTACCACGCCCAGCTAATTTTTTGTATTTTTAGTAGAGACGGGGTTTCACCATGTTAGCCAGGCTGGTCTCAAACTCCTGACCTCAGGTGATCAGCCCGCCTCCACTTCCCAAAGTGCTAGGATTACAGGCGTGAGCCACTACATCCAGCCTCAAAGTCACTCTTTAAAGCACTTGTATTAAATGCTGCTCCTCTTCCCGCTAACTGCCCCATTCCTCTCCTTCGTTTTGCTGGTAAATCACTCAAAATAATCTACAAGGCTGGCCTTTGTTACCCATGCCTTAACCAATTAGCTAAATTCTGGTTTCCACCACTCTACTGCAGTCTCCTTTTTATCAGATATATTTTCCTTGTTCTCATTTTCATTTCTTTGCAGCATTTGATGTTCTTGGCTCCCTATCCTTTGAGTCCCTTTTCCTTGACCTCCATGACACTGACTTGCCTGGTTTTACTACCATCCCATACCATTCATTAGTTTTTCTTAGGGCCTCTACTTCCAAAGTAGAGGCTCAGACCTTTACCTTCCAAAGGCTCAGACCTTTCTGTTATGCTTTTATTTTTGACATTTTTTCCCATAGTAAATCTAGACATTAATTACACAATATTTGTTAGGTACCCACAGTATATCAGCCAGTAACCTAGGCACTGAATAGCAGTGAACAAAACAAGGTGCCTATTTTCCATAAAGCTTATATTTTACTGAGGGGATGAGTAGTCAAACAATAAACAAGCAAAACAATTAATTTATAACATAGTAGGTGCTTATAAACAATATGAAGAAAAATAAGGCAGGTCAACGAGTTGAAGTGAACGGGAGGTGATACTATTTTCGAAAGATTAATTTAAAAGGGTGTCTCTAATGAAATGAGAGGCCAATGCAGATTACCTTCGGGAAGAGTAAGTTACACAGAATGAACATTAAGTGCAGACTCACAGCTGGAGGGATTCCACAGATGGATTTGTGAAACAGCAAGAAGCCCAGTGTAATTGGAGTCAAGTAAGTTAGGAAAAAAGGTAGGAGATGAGGTTAGAAAGATCTTCAATGAGTTGGTAAGGACTTTGGATTTAATTATAGATAGGCTCCCCAGTAGCTCTGCATCGACTGACACCTGATGTCTGATGACTCTCAAACCTGCTTCTTCAGTCACGGCCCTTCTCATCAAGCTCCATCCCCATATGGCAAAACTAGCATCTCCTTTGATGCCCTATACTGCCTCATCCTCAAGATATCCAAAAGGGTTTTGTTTTTGTTTGTTTCAGCTTCCAAGTTGAAAATTACTATACCAGTACAGTTTTTCTATTTTATTTCCATATCATCTTCCTAATCACCCAAGAAACACTTCCTCAGTCATCTCTGGCTCGTCCTTCTCTTTCAGCCCTCATGGCTAAGCCACCAACATTCATGTTAACAGTTTGTTCGTTATGACTCTTGGAATCATCCTTTTTTTGTCCACTGCTGACACCCAACCCGGGAACTTACTATCAAAATCCTCATCACTGAAATGACCTCTTAGGTGGTCTCCCTTTTCTACCCTTCTCCCTAAGTTGTCCTACATACTACTAGTAAGATGAGTCCTACCCAAATTCTTAAACTGTATGTCATTCTCTTCAAAAATATTTTCCTGTCTGCAGGACAATGTTCAAATACATTTCTTAGCCTGACTTTCAAAGCTATTCATAAGGAAGCCCCATTAATTAAAACAAAAAGTTTCAAACTGTATTCCTCACTGCCAAACTATAAGTACTTTCTGCTAATAAACATGTCTCTTCACTGTCCCCTAAAAATTATCTGATTATTATTAACTTCAGGATTTAACAACTCATGCTGTTTCTCTCACCTGACACATACTCCCTTCCTTTTTACTTAGATTCTAGTCACTCAAGATCTTCTCTTATTCCAACTCATACTCTCTATCCCTGAAGATCTACTACACTTATTTGTATCCCATATGGTGGTACTTCATCATATGCTGTGATTTATTTGACTGTTTTGAGTGGAACTCCTTAAGTTTCAGGGAATTTGGAATACTTCTCATAGTTCTTTTCTATTCATCAAAATCTAAGCACATACAGACTGAATTCTAGGAAAAGCTTCAGGAAACATTTCAGAAACAATATAATTTCTCACAACTTATTTTTTTCTCATAAAATGTATATTTATATATTTCATATATATGAAAAAATATATTTTTCAAAAAACATACTTTTCAAAAAATAGATATTTTTGAATCCTAATCATATTTTTGATTTTGGAGCAACAGCTCTAATACTTGAGATATTTTTTTTTCCACAGGAAAAGGTGAAAGGAGTAGATGTAAAGAATAAAGGATTTTTCCCCCTTGGAGAAAAATAAAAAGGTAGGTCTACTTATCCAGAGTAAAGCACTGTCCAAATAAACAATGAATTGTGGAGGATTATAAACAAATCAAGTAATTCCATTAAAATCAACTATAGAGGGTAGGTGCGGTGGCTCATGCCTGTAATCCCAGCACTTTGGGAGACTGAGGCGGGTGGATTACCTGAGGTCAGGAGTTCGAGACCAGCCTGGACAACATGGAGAAACCCCATCTCTACTAAAAATACAAAAAATTAGCTGGGCGTGGTGGCGGGTGCCTGTAATCCCATCTGCTTGGGAGGCTGAGGCAGGAGAATTGCTTGAATCTGGGAGGCGGAGGTTGCAGTGAGCCGAGATCGCGCCATTCCACTCCAGCCTGGGCAACAGAGCAAGACTCTTGTCTCAAACAAACAAAAAAAGTCAAATATAGAGATAGCCTATCAGTCATTATCAGAATACCACCTCTTTGGAAAGCACTCTCTAACTTCTTTAAACTTTAAGGGGAAGGTATAGATGTGTTTTCTTTGCCTTCAGGAATTCTAACTCCAAATAAGTTAGCCTGGCTTTGAAAGATGGTTCCAACCACAGACATAAAAAGGCCTCTTGGGTATTTACTACAGCAACAACAACAACAACAAAAACAATAAAAACACTTCATTTTAAAATCTGGTTTGATAGATAGCAAGCTATATGAAGTAAAGTAAAAGAATCAGCTCCTTCACTGATCTCTAGAAGAATGGGGGGAAAATCTCATCTTAAATCTCTGCCAATTTAAATCAGTAGGAAAATTTTGCTTTCTATTATATCTTTCTCCAAAATTTATTTTTTAAATAGTAACTACTAAGTAATTATCTTAGCATATTATCAGTTGATTCACTACATTAAGATTTCACATACATTATTCCTCACTTAATCCTCTCAGCTGAGTTCTAAAGTATGGTCATTTCCAGTTCACAAATTTTTTAAAAAGGAAGCTATTTAATGTCTAAATCACTTATTCAAAATCATCAAGCCATTAATGTGGTAAAACTGAGTCTCAAATCCAGGTTTTCTAGCTCTAAATTCATGTCTCTTTTTGTATCACATACTGTTTTTAGGATGGATGTTGGTTGTTTATGAAAGGAAGTAAAGTTTTCTTTCTTTCTAATAACGTTTATACACAGTCAACTCTTGGAAAATACAGGTCTGAACGGCACAATTCCACTTATACATGGATTTTTTTCAATAATAGTACACCAAATGTGCCTATCTCTCCTGCCTTCTCCTTCCACCCGCTCCACATCTCTTCATCTCTGCCACCCGAGACAGAAAGACTAACGCCTTCTCTTTCTCCTCCTCCTCAGCCTACTCAACAAGAAGACAATGAGGATGAAGACCTTTATGATCCACTTCCACTTAATGAATAGCAAATATATTTTCTCTTCCTTATGATTTTCTTAATAACATTTTCTCTTGCTTACATTATAAGAATACAGTATATAGTGCATGTAATACACAAAATATGTATCAATTAACTGTTTATTGGTAAAGCTTCTGGGCAACAGTAGGATATTGGTAGCTAAGTTTGGGGGAGTCAAAAGTTAGAACAAGGATGTTTGACTACACAAGGGTTGAAGCCCCTAAACTTTGCATTGCTCAAGGGTCAACTGTATTTCACTTTCTAGTTTTATGTGAATAAATTGATACAAACAGGTGATAGAGAACTGAAATATGTTTTCTCCCAGAGAAAACTGACCAATCTTTTATTTAGTATTCATGCATTAAAAATAACTGCCATCTTCATTGACATTATATGTAAAAGCACCAACAAGCTCTGATCACATAAGACAAAGTTCTGTAAGTGACAGATAAGTTGTCAAGTAATATTACACTGCTTCAGGACTTCTTTATAGAAGTTATATTTAAATAATGTCTTTCTGTCAGTATCAGATTATTGGAACAAGGCTGAGAACACATTTAAAGTGTTCATTGGCCAAAATGTTAAAAACCTAACATGAATTAACATGTAACTAAAGTTGCCTGGAGTCTAATATCAGAATTTATTCAGGCTTGTCAGTCTAAGCCAACTTTGCTGATTCCTTAGTCATAATAAAATAATCTGTCTATAAAAATAAAGACCCATCAATAGGTAAAGAAGAGAGATGGAACTTCCTAGAGGCATAGAAATATCAAACAATTTATGAGGCAAACAGTAAATCTGTAAATAATACTGTTTAACAAAAATATTTTAACAAAATGTTACACAGGACTAACGTGAAGTTCAAAGGAAACAATGCATATGAAATAGTGCTGTAAAGATTATTACATGTTTATTTTTAATTATCTTATAAGAACACCCTATAGAGACAGAAACTTTATCAGTGTGCTTTTGGAAGCAATAACTGTTGCTGGTTGGATGATTCAGTTATCATGAACTATTCTGGCAGGTTTCAAAAGCAGTGCCATTTTAAAACATTAAAAATGTCTAAAAATGCAACCATAGTAATAGATTCTGAGTGCATGGGTTGGGGGGTGAGGGAGAAAGACAATGACAAATTGGTCCAAAAGGACACTGAGACTTCATAGTTGGAAGACTATTGTGCTGACAATTAGTAACAGAGGAAGCAGAGCACAAAACAAATGAATGAAAAAAGCTGAACTTGCAATGAAAGACCTTATTATAGTTCAGAAACATTATTGTAATAAAGGGGCAATGTACTCTCCTCTATAAAACTTCCAAACAGGCACCCTAGTCTCTTTTCTCTTCCCCTGCATTTCATTTTTTCATTAGCATCTGCTTGATTATGTATTATTTCCAACCCAAAAGAACGCCTCTGTATCTTTCCTAAATTCCAAGGCTTAAAGGTTCTTCCTCCCAATGTGGCCTTAGGCCTCATTTAACTTTACTCAAAGTATAATAAACGCTTTTAAATTAAAATAAAGATATAGGGGTGAAAAAATCAGAAAGCCAATAATTTAGCATGTATCAACTCAGAGGAAGCAACAAAACATGTCCCTCAAGTTCAACTTGTTAAAAATGCAATGATTATATAACTTACTGCAAATATTCAGATGATTCTGCCTCTAAAAAAAATCAGTGTCTCCCCTATGGCTTCTATGACTTAGTTGGAAAAGCAATGCTGAAATCTTCACATACTAGTGAATCATCTACATTAAGCTGCTGTTTCCCTAAATGGAATTATCCAAAAGTTCTCAAATACATCTTCATGTATTAGTCAAGAATGACAAGATCTGATCCATGATACAGACAGACAGACTAGTCTAGAGGCATGGAAAACCCATATCTTCTGAATTGCCCACACTGGAAAACCTCTCACCTCAAGGCCCTACTGTAAGGTAGTCAGAGATCCATTAGTTAAGTAGGAATATGGAAAAAGCACTGGTCTGGAAACTTGAAAGCTGCAGGTTTATCTCCCAGCTCCATCTCTGAAAGAATTCCTTGCCACTGGGAAATTCCATGAACCTAGTTTCTCCAGCTATAAAATAGACTGTTTGTCCTCCAAAGATGTTAGTAACATTAAATATATCTTACTAACACACACATATATGTGTATGTATGTACATATATATATGTATGTAAAATACGAGGCAGAAGGTACTCAACAAGTGGTAATTTATTACTATACTACTCCACAATATACTCAATATTTCAAGAAATAATTATCTGCTGCTGATAGGCAAACCACTGAATTTAGAATTAGAAGAAAGGACTTTAGAGATCCTTCACTCTAACTCCCTCACTCTACAGATGACAAAATTCTGAGTCCCAGTATGGTTAAGCGACTGGCTCAACATTACATAATAAAACTCTATCAAATTTATCAGCCACCCATCTACGACATCTATATTTGTTCCTTTGCTCTAGCAGAAAGAAGTCTCGCTATTATATATAATACAACTCCTGACAACAATGAGAGTCCACTATTAACCCACTGGGTGATACGTGGCATAGCACGAAAGTTCTATGGGTGCTGACGACGTATTACTTGAAGAGAGCTGTCATCTCTGAACACCATATATGATTAAATGCATTCAAACCAGGTGTTAGAGTTCAAATCACAGTTCTGCCACGTACTTGCTTTGAGGTTCTGGGCAAGTTTTTCAGTCTCTCTAGGTCTCAGATTCATTATCTAGTTTTTTTTCCTTTAAGTAATAATATTTATTTCATGTTTTTCATGTGATGACAAAATGCAATTACACAAATAAAACACCTTGTAAAAAGCAGGCTCTTTAAAAATGTTAATTTTCTTCCTTTACTTCCTTAATTGCCCTCCTAATTTCCGATGTATTAATTATAAAATGAGATTAAAACACCAAATATAATGGGCAAACAATCATCTTTCTAATTACAATTTCAAAAACTAGTTACGCACAATCCTCTTTCTAGAAACTATAAATTTAAGTTTAAAATGACACACTAAAAAAAAAATTCAACAAGTAAATCAAATAGTTATCTACATTCAACTTAACCAAAATAATCTATACGTTTAATAAGGTCATAAAAAAATTATACAGTAAATACACTACAGTTGCCTTATCACACGCAGGCTGCAGGTGGTGATCCTCCTACCCCACCCTCCACTTCCCATCCACAATACTCCAACTTCCCTACATACAAGAAGGCAAATTTTTAAAAAATAAATATATAAAGAGATAATGTACCACCTTCCAAGCTACAGTTTATAACCTTTTTAGCTTAAATTTTAAAAACTCTGTAGGTAGGATTTTAAAATGGAGTATTTATTTGTCAGTAAAATTATTTTATATTCTACCAGGAGAAAAGATGAACAGCAATGTTACTACAGAAACTACAAATAAAACACGAGGTAAGCTAACAAACAGGGTAGCTAGTGCCTAACTGTGGCCCTGAGAAAACAATGTCTGACATGATTAGGGCATTCTGCTAAGTATTTCAAACGCCATATTTATTCCTATCATTTATTCTTTTTCCTCATTTGATATTTTTCACTCTATACAGGGATAAGGACATAACATACCATCTGGAGCTTTCATTCATTTCTGAAGATTTCATACCCACTTACTTTGACAAGATGAAAAGAAATTCAGCCAAAGTTTCTCAGAAATAATTTTTCAAATTAATGCTATTCTTGTTACCTGGAAAGTAACTTTATCTTTTGAAATCTTACTATTTCTCCAAACAATCTCAATGTCCAAAGAAGCTTTTCTTGATGATTCTGTCTTTAATGATACCTCTTTTTCCTAAATTGTAACTGCATGTATTAATTGCAAAACTCCCTTCAAAACTTAGCCATAAAACATCTCAAAATACCAATCCCAAGGGTCTGTGGCATATTTTTGCTACTAGACTATAAATTCTTTAAAGCCAAGGGCTAGATCTTGTATCTGTGGAATAAGAAAATGAACACAAAACTCTAGGTTCACTCTGTTAGACATGGGTTCATGCTGTGGGCTCTGCCATTTGCCAAACAGTGGCCTAAGCAAGTCATATAACCACTCTGAGTTCCTTTAAAATGGGGAGCATAATACTTACCTCACAGTGTTGTTGTGAAGATAAAATGAGAAAACATATGTGAAAGGGCTTGATACATAGTAACGCTCAAAGAAAGGTTGGTTTCCTTATTTCCTTCTTTTTTCCCCTCAGTACCTGGTACAATGTTGAGAACATAATAACCCTCAATAAAAACTTCCTAAATATTCATTACAATTTAGACTTCCTAAAAAATATATTTAAATATTAATTTTGATGACTCCTATGTTTCCAAATTGTGTTACTTTAAGTCAAACACATACACACAAGGTAGAAAACTTCAAAACACAGTAGGTGCAAATGGTTGTTATTTGAGATGGCTAGAAAAGAAAATCAAGGAAGGAGTCCTAAGTATTTAAAAATAATTGAGTGATACTAATTATATGTAGGGTATTCCCTTACTTAAGCACCTATCAACAAGTAATAGTTGATTGCTGACCTTCGAAAAAGTTGAGTGAGACAGAAAGGGGGGAAGGCAGATACAGAGGAAAGGAAAGAGGGAAAAAGAAAGGAATAAAGGAAGGTGGTCATGCTGGAATCTCTTCTATGTCCTCAGTATAAACTATTGAAGCTGATAACTACTTGCCTGCCTTCCTTTAAAAACAATCCCCATTGCATCCTCCACCTCTCAATAAAGCAGTAATCTAGGAAGCAAAGTACCTTTAATTTTTCCTCCAATGGATAGGATCCTCTTCAACCAGTCAGAAAAATACTGAAGGATTTTATTACTTTAAGAAAAAACAACTTCTGACTAAAAAGGGAATAACAACAGTCACACAGGTCTTTCTCAGCCTGCAGCAGCTTTGTCTTCCAAAGCCCAGGGTTTGAAGAATTTGGTCTATACCCCGTTCCCCTTGCCCTCACCCAAACTCTTGTCTCTGATCCAATGGTGTTAGATCTTATTTATTTTTTTTTTAGCAATCAATATATGTTAATTGAATACTTTTTTTTGTATAAATGTTTTTTACTTTTTTTTATTATACTTTTAAGTTCTGGGGTACATGTGCAGAACGTGCAGGTTTGTTACATAGGTATACACGTGCCATGGTGGTTTGCTGCACCCATCAACCTGTCATCTACATTAGGTATTTCTCCTAATGCTATCCCTCCCCTAGCCCCCAATCTCTCAACATGCCCCGGTGTGTGATGTTCCCCTCCCTGTGTCCCTGTGTTCTCACTGTTCAACTCCCACTTATGAATGAGAACATGCGGTGTTTGGTTATCTGTTCCTGTGAGAGTTTGCTCAGAATGATGGTTTCCAGATTCATCCATGTCCCTGCAAAGGACATGAACTCATCCTTTCTTATGGCTGCATAGTATTCCATGGTATGTATGTGCCACATTTTCTTCATCCAGTCTATCACTGATGGTCATTTGGGTTGGTTCCAAGTCTTTGCTATTGTGAATAGGGCTGCAATAAACATACGTGTGCATGTGTCTTTATAGCAAAATGATTTATAATCCTTTGGGTGTATACCCAGTAATGGAATTGCTGGGTCAAATGGTATTTCTAGTTCTAGATCCTTGAGGAATCGCCACACTGTCTTCCACAACGGTTGAACTAATTTACACTCCCACCAATAGTGTAAAAGCATTCCTATTTCTCCACATCCTCTTCAGCATCTGTTGTTTCCTGACTTTTTAATGATCACCATTCTAACTGGCGTGGGATGGTATCTCATTGTGTTTTGATTTGCATTTCTCTAATGACCAGTGATGATGAGCTTTTTTTCATATGTTGGTTGGCCACATAAATGTCTTCTTTTGCATAGTGTTTGTTCATATCCTTTGCCCACTTTTTGATGGGGTACTTTTTTCCTGTAGATTTGTTTAAGTTCCTTGTAGATTCTGGATATTAGCCCTTTGACAGGTGGATAGATTGCGAAAATTTTCTCCCATTCTGTAGGCTGCCTGTTCACTCTAATGATAGTTTCTTTTGCTGTGCAGAATCTCTTTAGTTTAATTAAATCCCGTTTGTCAATTTTGGCTTTTGTTGCCATTGCTTTTGGTGTTTTAGACATGAAGTCTTTGCCCATACCTATGTCCTGAATATTATTGCCTAGGTTTTCTTCCAGGGTTTTTATGGTTTTACAGTTTTAGGGTTTTTATGGTTTTTGGTCTCACATTTAAGTCTTTAATCCATCTTGAGTTAATTTGTGCATAAAGTGTAAGGAAGGGGTCCAGTTTCAGTTTTCTGCATATGGCTAGCCAGTTTTCCCAACACCATTTATTAAATAAGAGAATCCTTTCCCCATTGCTTGTTTTTGTCAGGTTTGTCAAAGATCAGATGACTGTAGATGTGTGGTGTTATTTCTGAGGCCTCTGTTGTGTTCCATTGGTCTACATGTCTGTTTTGGTACCAGTAGCACGCTGTTTTTGTTACTGTAGCCTTGTAGTATAGTATGAAGTCAGGTAGCGTGATGCCTCCAGCTTTGTTCTTTTGGCTTAGGATTGTTTTGGCTATATGGGCTCTTTCTTGGCATTCCCTTTGAAAACCAGCACAAGACAAGGATGCCCTCTCTCACCACTCCTATTCAACATAGTATTGGAAGTTCTGGCTAGGGAAATCAGGCAAGATAAAGAAATAAAGGGGATTCAAATAGGAAGAGAGGAAGTCAAATTATCTCTGTTTGCAGATGCCATGATTGTATATTTAGAAAACCCCTTCTTCTCAGCCCCAATCTCCTTAAGCTGATAAGCAACTTCAGTAAAGTCTCAGGATACAAAATCAATGTGCAAAAATCACAAGCATTCCTATACAACAATAACAGACAAACAGAGAGCCAAATCATGAGTGAACTCCTATTCACAATTGCTACAAAGAGAACAAAATACCTAGGAATACAACTTACAAGGGATGTGAAGGACCTCTTCACGGAAGGCTACAAACCACTGCTCAAGGAAATAAGAGAGGACACAAACAAATGGAAAAACATTCCATGCTCATGGATAGAAAGGATCAATATCGTGAAAATGGCCATACTGCCCAAAGTAATTTATAGGTTCAATGCTATCCCCATCAAGCTACCATTGACTTTCTTCACAGAATTAGGTGTTACTTCTTTAGCCATAGTGATGTCTTCTTTTTTGGCCAGAAGGAGGCCATAAGCAGGGTTTGGGAATGTACCTCACTCTGTTTAGTCATTAAGAAAGAATAGCCCTGACTAATCAAAGTCCTAGGCATGAAATGAAACTAGAAATTTTCCTCCAACCAAACAATAGTATTTGGCCTCAACTGCAACAGACTGTTGTAAGCAAGTTCTCTAAAACCTTTAAGACTCTTTAAAGAAAGCTCAGTAAAGTGGTTTCCTCCTCACTCCAATGTAATTTAGCTAAAGGAGGAATGATTGCCAGTTAATTCAGCAAACATTACTAAGTACCTTCTATCTTACGTTAATACTATTTGGATAGCATTTTACAACATACAAATTGTTTTCATATATATATATATATATATATTTTTTTTTTTTTTTTTTTTTTTTTTTTTTTTTTGAGACAAAGTCTTGCTCTGTCGCCAAGGCTTGAGTACAGTGGCATGGTCTTGGCTCACTGCAACTTCCACCTCCCGGGTTCAAGCAATTCTCCTGCTTCAGCCCAGTAGCTGGGACTATAGGTGTGCCCCACCAAGCCCAGCTAATCTTTGTATTTTTAGTAGAGATGGGGGTTTCATCATGTTGGCCAGGCTGCTCTCAAATTCCTGACCTCAAGTGATCCACCCACCTCAGCCTCCCAAAGTTCTGGGATTACAGGCGTGAGCCACACCACTCGGCTATATGATCTCACTTGATCCTCACTGTAAGCCTGTGAAGAAGGTATCATTAGCTCCATTGTTCAAAGATGAGCAAAATGAAAATCAGAGAAGTTATGTGATTTGCCCAAGATCACATAGCTAGTAAAGCAGTAGAACCTAGTCCCAAAGTCAGGTCTTCTGACTACAAGTCCAATGATGTTCCAGTATACCAGATATTGTAATAAATGCTGTGGGACATTTTTAAAATGAGTATGCATGGTCACTGTCTTCTACAAGTTTACCATTCCCTTTGATTCTAAATAAGCCCCCCCATTCCTTATATTCTGATAAAAGAGGCTCAGAAAGTAAAGACTGTAACTAAAATGATTGGCTTGGGAATACAAATCAGGAAAAGGCTGGGAGATCGTGGAAGCTACTAAAGAAGAGGAAGCAGGCTCTAAAACAGAAATCTGATCAGATCACCTGTAGTGTTATAATGAAGGAACTATTAAAATAGTGAGATTATTTAATAAGAAACTCAGATGATACACATGAAAAGTTATGATTATAAAGGAGATAACACTGATGAAATCTTTCAGAGATGCAGAGGGTTGCTTTCACCCCTGGCAGCTGGATTTGAAACTCTTGACTGCCGCAGTCATTTTCATTAAGATGGGATACACTTTTTCTGTTTTTTTTTTCTTTCCACATTTGTTGTACAACGTAAGGAAAAAGTAGGAAAGAATGAACGTTTTGTGGAATTTTTGTTCTTTTCAAATTGGAGTATGATTTGAATTGGAGCCTGAAGAAGGAAATATGTGACATTGTTACATTATAGTTTTCTTAAAAATGATCTCATTTTAAAATAATTTTTACAAAGGTTTTCTCCATTCCCAATTCTAAACTTGGTTTAAGGTTAAATTCTGCAAATATCTGAACATAACACTACCTATGAAAATAGAAGCGAGAAGCAAAATTTGATTAAATTTACGGTAATTCACTTCTTAAGATAAGGCAGCTATTCCTTACAGTGGGATACACCTGTTAACAGATATAACTTTCCATTTGTCTAAAAATTTGATAGCATAAAGAAAAAAACAAGTATCTAAGGTGATGGATTTATCAATTACCTTGATTTCATTATATGAATGTATCAAATAATCACATGTACCCGAAAATATGTACATCTAATATGTATCAATTAAAAATGTTTTTTAAATAAAGTAAATCAAGAAAAAAAAGAAAGCACCAAATCTTCAAGTGATAAAATGATTAAATGATCTAAAAATCATTAAAAACAAACACAGGGTTAGGAATTTTGTATGTAATTAAACCTGACCAGAATATAGCAATGTATGTCAAAAAGAAAATGTATAGAACATTAAAGAGTAACAGAAAAAAAAGAATGAAAAGATATAGGCTATAAACACAGTTATTATTTGGGCAAGTGTTTAATTGTGGATATATATTAAAAAATAATTCAGCTTTTCCTTGTCAAAAATGGAGAACATCTGAAATTTTTCTAAGCAAGGAGAACGGTATTTGCAAAGGAACTTTTTTTGGAGATGAATCTATTTTATGCATTGTTTCCAAATATTCCAGAAAAGATAATATTTGAAGGTAAGAACTTGATCAGGAGACTTAACATAATCCAGAAAGGAAGTGATGAAGCACTGAGCTAGGATGGTAGCAGTAAGACTGAAAAGGATGAGGACTAAACTGTATCTTGCTGACTGACTCGCAGCCTGTTTGTTTAAGGATGTATCCCCTCCACTGCACACTATAACCAGGTACATCCTTTTAAAAAAATTGAATACTGATTTGGAAACCGGATGTTCAAAAATTTCATCACATTGATATTTAAGACTTTCCATAATCTGATTACTAACTCTCTAATCTGAGCTTTTTTTTTTCCTCCAGCATAAATTCTCCATCCATCTAGGATATTGCCTATACCATTCACAAAACAAGCTACTCCTTAATACTTGCCTTCATTTGTTTGCTTATGTTGTTAACCTGAGACTGTCCTCTGTCTTACAAAAACATAATCAAATCCTCTTCTTCAGGGCTCATGTTAACCCCATCTCCTGAGTAAATTCTCAGTCAACCTCGCCAACACTTACCTATTGCTTCTCTCAACTTCTACAGCAGCTACTTTCTACAGAATTCATTTTGGCAATTAATCCTATTTTTCCTCCCACTGCTATATGTTCTATGTGAATGTCTTCCATAGTCAATGACAAATTCTTACATATAAAAATTTTATTATATATTCCTTTCACTATCAGGTATGGGTATAATGATCAATCAACACTTCGAAGGTGAATTATTATGATCTCTCATAATTCATGTACATTTATATAGTATATATTTACATAGTCTGTAGTTTTTCTAGAATTACAAGGTTATTATTCTAGGTTGTATTATCTGTTACACAAGACTAAGAATCAAGTCATAAGCTTTTTCTCTATCCCCATGTATGTCCACTAGAAGTATTAATAGGAATCAACTGATTTTTCTACATATTTAAAATCTCTGTATATAATATTTATTCAAAGATTTTTTTTTTTTTTTTTTTTTTAAAGAGACAGGGTCCTTCTATGTTGCCCAGGCCGGTCTCAAACGATCCTTCCACCTTAGCCACCCAAGCATCTGGGATGAGATAAAGATGTTTGTTAGTAGGTTTAAGTCCCATAATTCCCTTACTTGCAAAGAGAGAGAGAAAAGTCGGTTAGAGAGTAAATACTTTGGTCATGCACAGTAGCTCATGCCTATAATTCTAGCACTTTGGGAGGCCAAGGTGTGGATCACTTGATGAGCCCAGTTCAAGACCAGCCTGAACAAAATGGTGAAACCCTGTCTCTACAAAAAACTGGCCAGATGAGGTGGCATGCAGCTGTAGTCCCCAATACTCAGGATGCTGAGGTGGGAGGATCACTTAAGCTTGGGAGATTGAGGCTACAGAGAGCTGTAATTGTGCCACTGTACTCCAGCCTGGGTGACAGAGTGAGATCTTGTCTTAAAAAACAAAAAACTTAAAGAAAAAAGAAAAAAAAGAGTAAATATTTCATCTTTTAAAATTGTGCTTATAAATGCAGAAATAACCTATTTTTTAAGAAGGGACTGAAGAAAGGTTTCAGAGAAGAAAAGCATATTGTCAGGGTGGGACAATATTTGCAGCATAGAATAAGGTAGAATTCTAGGAGAGGCTTCTTAGGACACAGGCTGGCACTTCTCCCATCCCACCACAGAGAATAAGAAGGAATTGATCAGAAGTAGGATAAGCCCAAGACATAGGGGCAAATGCACACGTCCTCCATGTGGGAACTACTCCCACTCTGGAACTGAGCAAGCTAGTAAACTCAAGAGAGGTTCATACAAATTGTCAAAATGTTAGCAAGACCATGACTCCTGGACAGACAAACTGTTTTACTCAAAGTAAAATAAAATGCAGCCCTGAGACAATGTATGTATCCTATATTATTTTTTAAAGTGCATGTTTCTTGTATATATCTCAATCTACAATCCTTAGAAATCCATCAAACCATAATTGTGATTAGAGATGTACTATGCTTGAAAAACCTTATTTTTACTTACATTTCTACAGCACTACATTGGCACCTATATATTAATAGTTCTTATGTGATCCACCCAAAGAAGGGTGAACGTCAAATATTGCTATCCACATTCTACAGGCCTTGTGGAGTTTCCATTCTCCATGTCAAAGGATACCTAGTAATTTAAGTGCTGGAAATGGGGCCCCAAATCAGGTCTCATCACCATAAATCTAGGGGAAATGTTATAATATAGGGGTGGGGGAGGGGAGTAATATTTATGTGATAGTCGAGACACTTGAGTTTTATTCTTGATACTTAACTACTACTACCTAGTAAGGCAACCTTAAAAAGATCACTGAATTTCTAAAGGCTTCATTTTTCTCACCTAAAAAAAGAGAAATCTCGACTAGATGTTTCAGATGTTCACTTAAAAAGTTAAGTCATAAAATACAAGCACTAGGAGATATAAGATAAATAAGACTAAGCTCTTTCCCCTAAAATAACTTACTGATCAGTGAATGAGACATGCACAGGAACAAGATAACCAAGAAACAATGTGTTAACAGCAGAAGATAATAGATTTAAGAAGGGCAGAGAGGACTAATTTAGCAAGGAATAGGGATGGGAATTAAAATCTGAATTAAGTCTTAGAAAAGTATCCAGGCAAATAGAGGACCAAAGGACATTCCAATCGAAGGGAACAGCATAAACAAAGCCTCAGAGTGGAAAAGCAGCATAGGTTGTACAGGGAATTATAAACAGTTCAGTATTGCTGATACATAATTGTAGAGCAGAAGAGAGATCCTGCAAGAGTTGAAAGTAGAGGCCAGATTGAAGAGATCTATGATGTATTAAGAAAGCTGAACTTTATCCAGTAGGCAATGATGATCCAAGGCAGGGCTTTCACAGGGGAATGGCATAGTTATGATATAATTTTAGAAAGACCACTTTGATACCCGCGTGAAGAAAGAGTATGAGTGGTACAAACTAGAAACAGAGAAGCTAGTTAAGAATCTACAGCAGATATGATGAGGCCTCATTCTGGGGTGATTATAGAAAAGGATCATAGGTTCAAGAAATATGCAGAATCAGCAGGACTAGAAATGGATTGGGAGTGGGGTAAAGATGTGAAGGAGAAAAAAAAGGCATGGAAAGGATCCATGTTTTTGATCAGGCAGAGACAGAACTCAGATACTGAGTACAAAGGAAGAAATAGACAAAATTATCTTGAGTTTATCTTAGGACGTACCTGGTCAAAAAATATCTAGGTAGAGATGTCCAGCAGCCAATTGAACAGAGTAACCTAATGCTCAGGAGAGAGGCCTAGCCTAGAGATTTAAGTGTGGGAGTAAGCTGCACACAAGGTTGCAACTGAAACCCCAAAAGTCAACGTGTCCGCCCAAGAGAAAGTACAAAGTGTGAAGGGTCTTCAACCAGAACCCTGTTAAATACCAGAACTGTGCATTAGCCTAAGGGGTAGGGGGGAACAGGAAAGAGGTATATCCCAGAACACAGTGGGAGTGGTCAAAAAGGAGATGGTGATCAACAGTATAAAATGCAGCCCAGATATAAATCCAGGAAAAATAAGAACTGAAAGATGTCTACTAGACTTACTGACAGGGTTCATGACATGATCTCCCAAAAGATAGCACCTTAGCATTTGAGAAAACAGCAAAAGCAGGAAGGCCATTCTTACCTTCCTCTCATCCTTCTCACGTGAGACAGGTCATAAAACTTAGCAAGAATTTTTTGACCTTCCCCTGAAATAGGTCATAAGATCCCCATATGAGAGATGCCCATACTATACCCAGAGGGAAGGAATATCCTTATTCCTGAAGACACAGGGACAGAGAAAAGAATCTGACAAACAAGCCTTACTAAGTTCCCTTCAGTTTATTACCATTATAAGCCCTTAGTCCTTATGACTATCCACCTCTTCATCATCCCTAAACATAAAAATACACAAGTTTGGCCAGGCATGGTGGCTCATGCCTGTAATTCCAGCACTTTGGGAGGCTAAGGCAGGTGGATCACCTGAGGTCACGAGTTTGAGACCAGCCTGGCCAACATGGTGAAACCCCATCTCTACTAAAAAAAAAATACAAAAATTAGCCAGGCATGGTGGTGTGCGCCTATGATCCCAGCTACTTGGGAGGCTGAGGCAGGAGAATCACTTGAACCCGGAAGGCGGAGGTTGCAGTGAGCCAAGATCATGCCATTGCACTCCAGCCCGGGGGACAGAGTGAGACTGTCTAAAAAAAAAAAAATTTATGTGTTTTTTTGGGTCTTCAATTCCAAAGGCTGCATTGTCACATAAAAGTTTTATTACTTAAATTTGTGTGTTTTTCTCTTGTTAATCTTCCTTTTGTTATAGGAGCCTCAGCCATGAACCTGAAATGGTAAGAAAAGATATTTCTTTTCCCCTACATTAGCAATTAAGTGGTCACTCAATAATTTATTATAAGTAGTTTCAATCAAGTGAGTAAGGGAGGAAGCTAGACTGCAGTGGGATACGAAGTGGAAACAATGAGTATAACACTATCTTTTTGAAAAATTTAAATCAGGAGGGAAGCAATTCAAAATTTAATTAAGATTGGAAGTTCTCAAACCCCTTTACAGTTCTCATACTCTGTTCTTTTCATATAAATAAAAAGCCTATTTTGGTAAAATTTCATTAAAACCCATATTGATTAAATATGAAGTAATATCTTTAATTATCAGAAAAATGAGGGATATATATATCCCTTTGGTAGCTACAATTTGATATATATATATATATATATATATATATATATATATATATATATATATATAACATTTCCCAACATACCTTAGAAATACCTTGTAAAATTATCTTTTTAAAAATGTACTAAAGGGGGCTAGGGCAAAGGAAAAAGCAATGGTGAAGTAACCCTCTCTTGCACCAATTGTTCCTTCCTTAATTCCTCATAAAGACATTCTTCATTGCCCTCTGCCTGGAATATTCTTCTTCTCTGTTTTAATTTGCTTAACTCCTACTCACTCTTCAAGGACCTGCTCAAAGTCCACCCCACAGAATCACAGAATGTCAGGGACAAAAAGGGCCTTACAAATCCACTGAATCCAAATGTTTCTAACATGCTGATGAAGAAACTACATAAAGATCAGAGTTTCAGAGAATAATCTGCCCAAGGTCCTATTACTTGCAGCTTGCGGCCAGGTTGGAATTTGAACTACTTCTTCAGCTAGTATCCATTTCAGTAGACTCATTCTTTCCTCACATAACTGTTATTACAGAATTGAAGATTGCGGTAAGTCAAGCTTTAGTAATAATCAATTTCTAAAAATTTATTTAGAGTAAGATCCATGTTACTAATACTTTTTAAAACTAAGGAGCCAACCTACAACTTACTTGTTAGTTTGAGTCAACTACCTACAGCTACTTGATTATACAAGATTACAGATGTCAGATAGTATTTATTTCATGGATAAATAAGCTGACTGTCAGTCACTAAATAGGATCCTTCCCCAAGAGTGCAGCATTTATTTCAGCCTCTGCCAGTGGAAGTGTTGGAGCAGATGTTGGCAGACTGTGACATACAGTATGTCTTTAAAACTCGTTGGGGTGTGAAATTTCATAAGGTCAAAAAATGCTGCATTTTGATCAGCAGATACAAGAATTCTGTACTTTTATAAATTATTTCAGAAAAACCAATAACATTTGCTGGTAAAATGGATAAACTAAAAAGCTACACTGGCTTTAGGTAGGGCATTTAGATAATGTATGCTGCTTATGTTCTAAAAGCTAATTTCTATCACTTTAAAGCAAATGTTCACTCAAAAAGTCTTTAAAATGAAAATCTGTTCTTAAGTCAATACAAAATACAATATATTATTTCAGTTGACAATAGGGTTTAAAAAATAATTTTCTATTGAAAGAAAACCATTATTATCTAATGAGCATTTTGGTGGGAAAAAAGATGTTTTCCTTAACTAACACACACACTTCATAGTGATCTCATTTAAAAAATATCTATATTAAGAATCCACTAATATAAACAGAGAAAGCTTTTTTTTTTAAGTTAGTATCCATATCGTTCAAATGACTTCACAAATCTTTTAACCCTTTGGTTTATTGTTTTATCTTTTTCTTAAAAAAAATACAGTAGCCATTCTAACCCACTAATAAGGGCTAACCTGAATTAAACAATAGGAGTAAAAAAAGATCACGGCTTTTATAATGGTAAAATGAAATTTGTAACATTCAAAGACTTATTTTCTTGAATTTTTTGTTATATTATTGCATTTTTTAGCTTCAAATTTCCCTTGTATCTTTTTTTCCCAAATATGGCTAATAGATAACATATAACCAAAATCAAAATTAAGGATATTGTCTCGTTAAAGATTTTAGCTTAATAATACAGACGAGCTAGATCTTAGGCAAGTTTAACTTAGCGTAATTTAAAACACTTTACTTCTAAATTAACACAAAGATTCTCTAATTGATTAATCAATATATTTGAAGAGTTGGAAGAGCCTGGTAATAACATAACAATAATAATCATTGTCATTATCATCATTGTCATCTTTCAGTTTATTTTGTGCTATGTTCATGCAAATACAAAATTTCTAAGTAAGTTTTAAACATTTTTGTTAGATATTTGTAAGGAAGAAAAATTTAACTACGAACATAAAATCTCCCCAGAAGATGATTTCTAATATAAATCACCTGTTTCTCATCACACAATCAAAAGAGCTAAGATTATGACAGGAAACTGATTAAAGTGCATTAAGTACCACAACATCTTATAATCATGCTAAATCTAACAACCAAGTTCAAAGGTCCTTGTTTTTATGTTATAAACAAAAACTTGAAGTATGTATTTGGGGAATTATATTTATCACATTCAAGTTCTACATAAAAATATTAAACTCTATTGCATTGTATAAGACCAAATGTTATCGATAACCTCTATGCTAAGGGACTGAAATTCTATCAAAGCTGAAAATTTCTCTATTAAATATAAACCCAAACTTTTTCACAGGTTTCTCATATAGCCTAAGATATCTGACACATAAAATCATAAAAATAAATAAATACAAGATGAATCAACAATTATAATTAACTTACTTGCCACTGAAAAGTTGTTGAGGGGATAAGGTAAATCCACATCTTGAGGTTTCTCTTTATATCCTATGAATGAGCCATCTGTCTTCAAAAGGAAGTATCTTGGCCTCCAGTTTTTTATATATTCTCCTACATGAGGAAAGCACGCATGTTAATGCTGAAAAAAATGAACAGCAGCTTTTATGCAAAAAATAAATTATGGTACAATATATGTCCTACAACACTGGCCTCCAAAAATTTAGTTACTCAATTTTCTTTTAACTTAGCTTACAAAAGAAAATACATAAGCCTACAATTAAGATTCAATAAAAACCCAAACATGTTTTGTTTTTAATGATTTCACACTTTGATAATTCATTTGCACCATTATTCCTTCAGAGAATCATCTGAGTACACATTTTGTTCAGTTTTTCATTTTATCAGATGGTTGTTAGAGCATATTTTCAGCTGTTTTAAAAAGCCTTGGTAAATCATCCACACAGTATCAATGAATTTCCATTAAAAACATTTATCATAAGAGAGGCAAGAAATAGATGTTTCTCTTCCACTAATTGTGTCTTTTTTTTTTCAAAAAAGAAAGAAAAAAGTCTATTTTCATTAATAAATCTTGACTGTAACTTGTTTAAGCAACATTTTATTGTTCTTCATAGAAAAATAACCTTTTTGCAATGCTGTACTTAAGAAAACGAAAGAACATGGGTTAACAGGGCTTTCAACGATACGCAAACTCACACATACACAAACATAGTAACTATTAATATATGGTACAGTGTCAAGAACATAATAGTCAATAAATGTATACTTTATTAGAACTTAACATAAGGTACCACCTAGCCACCAAAATACACATTTTTAGCAACTACATTACAATTTGCTTACCTACTAAAGGACAACTTCTAATTTTAAGCAACAGAGGTGCTCCATGATGCTACAAGAGCTAGAAGGCTATCTGGTATTGATTCAGTTCTCTACTGGTTATTTCTACCTGCTGATTAAATCTCAAATGCTTAGGCAAAGAAGTACAAAAAAATTGCAAACAGTTCAATTTTCCCTACAAATCAGCTTCTTCTTGTGACCCAAACTCAAACCCAACATCTGAAGGTTCCCCTCCTTATCACAGTTAGGTCAATACTGCCATCACAAGTCTCTCTGATTGAGCCCAATCAACTGAACCCTTAATACGTTATATCTACTCTTCTGTTAATACTGTTTTTCCCCACTCTACACATTCCCCACTTCCATCCTAATGTATCTATCACCTCCAGATTAATCTTGTGTGTACCACTTTATCACTTTTCTGCTCAAAATATCCTGTGACTCCTTACTGCTTACTGTAAAGTCCAGTCTCTTACCATAAAATGTAATCCAAATCTTTTACTATAAAGGGCAATCTCACCCCAACATGTATTTCAGATGTGGAATCATTCCTCTGAATCAGCAATTCTTAAACTTCTTAGAATCTCTTTATATCCTTAAATATTACTTAGAGCACCAACAAATTATGTAGATTTTTATCTATGTTTACTTTATTCGAAATTGAAAATAGATTTTATAAATGTTTTACTTCACTTGAAAATAAATTTATTACATATAACAAATAACATATTTTTATAAAAAATAACTATTTTCTTTAAAGAAAGAAAAATGCAAAGACCAGCACTGCTTTCCATTTTTACAAATCTATTTAATGTCTGGCTTAATAGAAGACAGCTTAATTTTCTTAGCTGTTCCTGCCTTCAACATCCTGCTGCAGTATGTTGTTTTGGTTTAAATTTAGGGGGAAAAAATCTGGCTCAAAGAGATATGAAGCTGAAAAAGGGAAAAATATTCAGATAGTTATGGATATCATTCTTTGATACTACACCAGAATTCAACAAGGGTTAGTTTCTAAAAGGTTAGTTGCAATGTAGAACTTGAAACTTTTAACAATGAACTTTCTGTACTATTATGTGAAAATCCATTGATCTATACTGGACTTTGAATGAATCTTTAACACTGTCTATAATTTTATAACATTATGCATTGGTCACATAGAAAACCCTGGCTTATCGTGCTATGCTGATCTTCCTAATGTTGACACATTTCATTATACAATCACATTTGTTATCAATACCAGTCTCATGAAAAAAGTAAACATTGGAAAGCTGACAAGCTCATAACGAGAGATCTGTTTTCCCAAATTTAATCTTTGCTTAAAAGCTCAATTTCCATCAGTGACAGCATATACTGTCAGTTGTTTTCCTTGAGGTGATAATACTCTACATGCCCAAGCTGGTGCCCACCACTTAATGCTCAATCATGATTTATTAAACAAATGAATAAATAGAGGATACGTAGATCAGTATCCTCCACATAAGTATGTAAGGGCAAAAAAGAAATTTAAAGAAAAAAGAAAAAAAAGTGATGCTCTTCACTTTATTTTACTGAAAAAAGACGGCCCTAATATTAATAAGCACATGACTTAATAAGGCAATTTATAAAACTAGAATGCCTAATACACAATTCCCACGTTGAAAAATAAAATAATTCCTTAATTGCTCTTATTTTATTTTTCCATTTCATTTATTCCTATATAAAATTCAAAATCATTAGGTATTAATTCTCCAATTAATGACATATTTAGACTTCAAATGTTGTTGTACAGCAATAAGAGATTTATACTGGTACAATATGCTGTAACTCTGTAAAGGTAAATCACAATAGTTTAATAATTATACCAAAAATAAAATGAATCAGATCCATTTGAAAAATACAAAAGAAAACACGGAATAACACCATTTCTTCTTCTTTTAAAATAGTACTGAATACACTTATTCAAGAAATGTAAAATTAAAAGAAATCAAATTTTCATTTCTAAGCATAATTTCCCTCTATGTACATCCTCAGATGAAAAACACAAAAACATCATTATATAAATCTTGTATCTTTTTTATTAAGCAGATTTTTAAACTTTTAAAATATTTTCTATGATCTATAGCAGGACTTCTGGTTGCCAAAAAGCTATTTAAAAATAAATGTATTATGCATCCTTCAAACGTAATACAGTATACCAAGATAGTGATGTACTCACTCACATAGAAGAAAAATTTTAAAGAATTTCCCTTCTTCCTTAAAAAAGTATTATTTCTCACAAACTTTTTAAATAATTTTAAATTGATTTGGTTAATCAACAATTATACTGTGATACTAAGCCAGAAGTAGATCTCAAACTTCCAATAAAGACTACTAAATCTATTTTCTTGTCATTTTTCACCTATAATATGAATTAACTTTCTGAGAAGATGCTTAGAATGCATTCATTATTAATTTGTTACAGAGGCTGGACCAAAAAAAAAAAAAAAGACAACTTAATAGAGCTTAATTCCAGTATTATACCAGATTTCAGGTGCCTAGCTGTTCGAAAAGGAACTGAACACTTTCATCTCTAGCTCAGAAGTTGAGGCAGTGTGAGTTCAGATAAGGCACGTGTTGTCAGGTTGTTCTAAAATATGGACAGAAAGTCCTAGCTTTTATGAGGCTAAGTACCCAGAACAAAGTACACTCCCTGCCACCAATCCTTTTAAGACGGACTGCTAAAAGTCAATCTTTTATTTTAAACACAGAATTTGCATCTAAGTTTACACATGATGCATCAAACCCAAATTGCATCATACTTTTATGTTTATGGCCCATAGGTTTTAACCAATTTAAAACACAACCTGGTTAAAATGGAAAGTCTTGTCAAAAAAGAAGCATTTATGATGTACCAAGTATCCCAAAGAGATTGTTCAATGGACACCCACCAATATACATCCAAATAGTAAATGTATCGTCAAGATAAACCTTCAGCAAGCACTGCAGTCACAACTGGTTAAGACTTCCAACCCAACCTCTTCCACTATATATATATATATATATATATATATATATATATATATATATATATAATCTTCATGGGTGCTTCCACTTCTTTCTCACACTCTTTTGCTGGAAGCTATACCTATGTTGAAGTATGCTGTTATCAATACCAAAACAAATACATTTCCCAGCAAGGATTCTGGTATACTGGCTTCTGGTAGTGAGGTGAGTGGTGGACCCTCGAATGATGTACGCACCCTAATCCCAGGAACCTGTGAATATTACCTTATGGTAAAAAAGAATGACTATTACTTTATATGGCAACACATGTGATTAACAATTAAGGATTCTGAGAAGATGGACTTTTCCCCTGGAGAATTATCTAGGTAAGCCCTAAATCCAATTACAAATGTCCTTTTAAGAGTAAACTGAACACACAGAGAAAAGGAAGGGGGAACGTGGCCACAGAAGCAAAGATTGGAACTATGGGCCAAAAGCCAAGGAGCACCTAGAGCCACCAGAAGCAAGAAGAGACAACAAGTGGGTTCTCCCCTGGAGCCTTCTCAGTGAGTGTGAACCTGCTGACACCTTGATTTCTAACTTCTGGCCTCCAGAATTGTGGCAGAATAAATTTCTGTTGTTTTATGCCACCCACTTTTTATTAATTTGTGACAGCAGTCCTAGGAAATACAGCTCCTAAACACTATGACCAATGGCTTGCTAACAGAGCTAAAAACTACTACTTACTCATTGAGTTCTTGGCATAGGACATGTACAGATTCAGTTAGCACCTTCTGAATGCAAAGAGGAAAATCCACATTACTACTGTAAATGGTAGAGAATCCTACTTGTAAATTATGAGGGTGGAAGAAACTGTTTGCTAGAATTCATGGTTTTACTTAGTCCTAATAACTTCAGATTCTGGACCTTTGCCACCTTTCTTACTTCACTTAATAACTTATTCCCTGTAGTTAAAACAAACGATCTCAATGATTTTGAGTAAATTTTGACCATAGAAAACATCCTGAATTTCCACAGCTGAGTAAAAATACTGCATTATTTTGGACCTCAGGCTTAGTCTATTTTTTTTTTTTTTTTGAGACACAGTCTTGCTCTGTCACCAGGCTGGAGTGTAGTGGTGCAATCTTGGCTCACTGCAACCTCTGCCTCCCAGGTTCAAGCGATTCTCCTGCCTCAGCCTCCCGAGTAGCTGGGATTACAGGTGCGCACCACCACACCCACCCATTTTTTGTATTTTTAGTAGAGACAGGGTTTCACCATGTTGGCCAGGATGGTCTCGATCCCTTGACCTCATGATCCACCTGCCTTGGCATCCCAAAGTGGTGGGATTACAGGCGTGAGCCACTGCGCCCGGCCAGGCTTAGTCTTTAATAACAACCTGAGATGGGACCTGGTATGAGTTTAGACTCATGCTCACTTTCCACCTAAAAGATCTGGATAGGATATTCAAATAAATCATCTTTATCATGAATTATATACTCTCAAACCAGAGCTCACCAAAAAGTTGACAGTGTTCACTTCCTACCATTCACCTGATAACAACAAACTGTATTTTTACTTAATAATCTTCAACCTAAATTAGTCCATATATAAACATTTTATTTCATTATTCATCAACACTCTACTGAGAATCACATTTTGATTTTTTAAAAGCTTAAGTCGTAAGTGTAAAAGCTGAAGTCGTAAGCGCCAAGGCAGAAGCTAGAAGTGTACATCTCTGGACTAAACAGTGATTGATTAAAATGTGCAAATAGTCTTTCATCTAGAATAACTAAGGAATATCTAGATTTGTTCAGACATGCAAATGGAAAAGATCTTCAGAAATAATTCAGCCTTGTGACCTCACAAATAGATCATGTTGATGAATATCTGATACCTTTTTAAGGCTACATTGTGTTCCAGAACCTAGTTCTAATTCTAACTTCATGAAAGGTAGAAAGATGTGAAGTGAGCTGGGTACTGGTTGAGAATACTGCAGAAATACTCATCTCTACCTTCAACTGTCATGGACTATGCTAAAAACACAATCGGGTAGATTCACTGAGATGTAACTAAACAAATATAGATACAATCCAATTGAAAAGAAATCTATAAAACCATAGCACTATTTTTCACAAATCCCATAAAATTCATTTGAAATTCATTTAGTTCATTTAGAATTTAATTAGAAACAACACAATCACCATTTTAAAAATATGCTTCTTACCTAAGAAAAAATGCAAAAAAAAAAAAAAAAGACCCTAATTATCAAGAGTTGCATAACAAACAAAAATTCTAATTTTCCGATACAGGTGCTAGCTTTTTAAGATACCAATGCTCACTCAAACTTGTTGTAACATAGTCTTCAAAGCTAATCACTGCATAAGGAAGACGGTGGGAGCATCCTCACATGTATGTCAGGAATAGATGTTACTGTTTTATCATAAAGCTAAAACAAGTATAAGCTCAGCTTTCCTCAGAATGCTGTATTTTAAATATTTAATTTTCATGTTTAATCACAAGCAAAGTCACAAAGTTTTTACCATGTATGATTATTTGTCCTTATACATCTCTGAAGAAAAAAATGTATAGATTACATCTATACTTAATGCATGCGTTAATGAAAAAATAACCTCTTTCGCAATCTTTATTATTTACAGAGGGAGAGAGCCATAGAATTTATGCAAAAAAAAAAAAAAAAAAGCTGGCCATACTGTCAATGTGAAAAGCATGTGGTCACATTTTCAGAATAAAAGAAATTTTAATTTAAACCAATGCTATGTTGTGTAACAAAAGGTACAACAAATTGTTGTGATCAATACGAGGTCAACAAACTTCTCAAATTAGCCTTCAGTTTCTTTCCCACTCAACCTCATCATTAAAATGCTCCAGGCAGAACAATGTAATGGTTAAGAGCAAGGACTCTGGAGTCACACAGCTTGGGTTTGAATCCTAATCACATCATTTATTAGATGCATGAACCTAACCTCTTTACATCTCAGGGTCCTCATCTGAAAAACAGAAATCATAGTTTTTATCCACCAAAGGGTTTTTGTAAGGACATAATGTAAAAAGCCCTTAGAACATTACCTGACATATTTCAAGTATTTGATTTGGTTGTTAGCAAGTGATACTAATACTAATACCACTTATGATAATATAATTTATAATCCAACTACAAACCACACATTAAATGTTCTACTAATCAGTACTGCACTTATTCAGAAGTATTTACATAAATGAGGCAACGATGAATTTTTTAAGTCTCTTTGGCTAGTGTCAGGTATATAAAACATGTATTTTATGTAAGGAAATGAAGAGGTTATCCAACATCTAAACACAGTATTAATTTGACTAATACTTTTAGTTCTTTTGAATATCAGGATATCAGAGGGGTAAACTAGTCTTCCAAAGAAAAGAGCAGAAGTCAGATTCTTCTGAATTTTTATAAATGATACACACAAATGTACAGTACCATAAAAATATAAACATTTTATGAATTTTCAAAGAGCAGCTTTAAACCAGAAAAAGGCAGTTTTCAGTAAAAATAAATGTACATGCTTCAAGAAACTATCTTTGGCAATACTCCTTAAATAAAAGTCTTCATGAGCCAATTTTTACCTAAGACAAAAACAGATACAATGTTAATTTCAGCATAAAATCTATTTAATTTCATCATTCACAATGTAGTAAATATTTAGTTGCCTGTTGACAGACACCAAATTTTCACATATGAACTACCTAAAAGAATATGGCAAAATCTTTTCTACTAATGGATTTCATAAATAAATATTAGCACAAAAAATACTGTATAGTCCATAATTATGTGATACATCTTAAATATCAGTAATCAATTATAGTTGCTGAAGAAATGCATGACAATAAATATAATAAGACATTTGCAGTATTTAAAATTACTGATTACAGTTTTATACAGAGGAGTACAATTAGTTCTGAGTGGAAGCCTATTCATGTCTCTTAGAGAATCAAAGAAATGTGCTTCTCACTCAACTTATCATAACCATGTTTTATTGATGTCTTAAAAATAATCCTGGGCCAGGCGTGGTTGCTCACTCCTGTAATCCCAGCACTTTGGGAGGCTGAGGCAGGCGGATCACTTGAGGCCAGGAGTCAGAGACCAGCCTGGCCAACATGGCAAGACCGTCTCTACTAAAAATATAAAAATTAGCCGGGCGTGGTGGCGGGGCCCTTATAATCCCAGCTACTCGGGAGGCTGAGGCAGGAGAATTGTTTGAACCCAGGAAGCGGGAGGTTGCAGTGAGCCGAGATTGCACCACTGCACTCCAATCTCAGCAACACAGCAAGACTCCATCTCAAAAAAAAAAAAAAAAAAGAAAAAGAAAAATATCCTGAAGAATTTTGTTCATATTATCTACATTGCAATAAACTAGCGTAAGTTTTCAACTGCACAGGGACAATATGAAATGTAACTTTTTAAAGTGATTTTGCATATTATAGGTACTTATTAAATACATATATTGATTAGATTTTCCAACTCCTAAAAACCTGAATTTTTAGGTTATCATTTATCTTTTATTGAGTCTTGAAACATGTTCTTTCCTTGCCCTCAGGCAACTGAAAAGTGTTAAATTCTATTCTGATGTCTATGCAATGTCTTTGACCACTTGTCATCAACCAGCTTTGGATGTGTGTTGATAGTCTGTGAAAATTGAGCAATGTCTAAGCATTATGAACTCCTGCCCAGCTCACTCATTTTAAGGTGCTGCTGCTCAAGACCACCTAGATCAAAAAAGCCACTTTAAACATCTTTACTTAGATTTAAGAAAAACGGGCTAACAGTTATTCAATCAAAAATACTCGGTGAGTGTCAAAATATGTACAAGTACTAAGAAGGCAGCAATAAATGATACAAGCATAGTCCCAGCCCTCATGGAGCTTTAATAAATGATACAAGCATAGTCCCAGCCCTCGTGGAGCTTTAAGTCTAGTAGGCAGCTGTGAGAGGTGGAGAAGAAAAGGGGATGAGTTGACTAATTAAAATTTTAAGTGAAAATTTCTCCCATTTCTTTAACCATTCTTAGTGATCCAGAATGTCATACTGGGGATGGCAATAGCCCCTATTCTTTGGCATTTCTAAATAGCATCTCATGTGGATTCAGAAAAAGGTAGTCGATGATATTTGTTGGTTTGACGTCTAACTGTGGGGAAGGGACTGGGAAGAATATCAGCGTAGGATTCTTCGATTTGCTGCTATGTTGATTCCAAGATGAGGCACTGCATCATCCTGCATTCCTCCTTGAAGCCTCACAATAACACAAGCAAAAGCAAGGCAATAGCTTTACTACCCTTTCATCTAGAATAATAAATAACACATCTTTACGTTTCAGGTTTTAAGATTATTGCCCATTCTTGTCTTTCTCACTGATTTCTGCATAATATTGATTAATAAGGTCAGATTTTTAAACACCTGAATTTCTCTTTATGGTTATTTCACCCGGTAAACTCTGGGTCACTGAGATGTTTGTCTGCTCTTGGACTGGTCAATGTTGCCACTGCAGCTGGCCACACGGAAGGTGTTTACAATTTTCGTGATTTTGTGTTGTGCTTCCGAGATGTCTTAAAGGCTTTCCAGATGTACCCACATTCCTCTGCTTTGCCACATATGTTCCCTCATGATTATTTTGAAAAGTATATTATAGTCAAGAAACTCTCATTCTAATGCATAATGCATGAACTTGTCATTTTTACATTAAGTACAGTTTTCACTTCATCTTAGCCAAAAGTCCGAGAAGCAATATTATGAAGTATAGTTTTCATATCGGCTTCCTAAAGAAAGCTGGGGTCCATGTTTTGCTTTGAAGCTGATGAGATGATGAGAAAAATACCTATGCATTGAATACCAACCACAAGATGTTAGAATGGCAACTTCTCTAAGATCTCAGTATGGTTGGTTTGTTAGTACTTTTATCTGCTTTACAATTTTCTTTTGTTTTCCAGAAAACTGCATAATTATCATCTACCCTTAAGTATTCTGGTATTTGTTTCATGATATTCGGTAAATTGACTAATCAAATCCTTGTTCCACTTGTTTTTAGGAAACATTACATTTTTAACCAAAGTGATGCTTTTAAATTATTCTCTTAAACACAATAACATCTTAATAGAGTTACAGTACCCAGTTTTACTCTAAGAGAAAAGCAAGGTGAGTAAGGAAGGCACAGGGGCATTGGGTGGAGACACAGAGAACAAAGCATCCACACGGACTAGCCAACAGAAAGCATCCTGGCAATTTAATGAAGAATAAACGGTGACTTTAGTTTACATAGCAGTAGGTATGTTGTGGAGAATTACTCAATCTGTACGCAGCCTCCTGCTGGGTTAAGTGTGAGCTAAGTTATTATTTTGCTTACATCTGCACCCTTGTAGGCTGTGAAAGCAGAGCTTTCTTTTTAAAAATCTGTTTACTGCATTAGAGCAGAGTTTCCAGTTCCACACACCGGATTTAACACAAAGTCATTCTTGCACCATTTTCAAAAAGTAGTCATAGAATTTTAAACTATTATAAATATAGACCAATTTAAAAATATAATTTCATCAGAAACTTTAAAACTTCCTTATTGTAAATATTTCCCATTTTACCACCTTATATTATCTAAATATAATATCATACATGGCATATACACTGCAGTAAATAACCTTAATGAATACCAAATATGGAAGCAGTGAGTCCATAACGCAAGAAACTACCACAGAGGTGGGCAATAACCATTAATTCAATGACTAAATAAACCTACCACCATTTGAAATAAAGACTATACTCCTGTCAGAAAAGCTCTCTCAAACAGAGAAGTCTCTCTATAACACAACCTCGTATGGTTCAATCCACTTTTCTGTTAGAACATGCCTGATGGATATGACAAATAACAATAATGGTGCCTCACTACAGCACTAACTGGGAGTTTGCAGAGAAGGCAGGCTGTAGTGCTTGCTCATCAGGAGGTGGTCTGTGCCATCTGAAAAAACTCTCAGGTGGTTCAACCCACCCATCCCACTCCTATACTAACATCAATGCTCTACAGAATAAAAACTAATAGGACTTTATCTTAGACTCTTACCAAGGAGTTTTTCCTCTAAGAAAAGTCTAGTAGTATGGACCCTAAAATGGCACTGCATCAAACCGAGAGCTCCACTATTCTGAGGATGAATCCATGCCCTTCATAACTCCTCTCTTCCCTCCTTTGTTCTCCTTAGACAATGTACTGATTGAGTCTTGTACCACAGCATGTTAAGTGGTGAAAGGAAGAAGAGGTAAGAGCAAGGAAGAAAAGGAAACATGAATGTCCTCAGCCAGGCACTGTGCTCAGGCTTCACTTACAGAGCCCTCTTCACAGCAACACTGAGACTGGTGCTGCAGTATTCTCACTTTTCACAGAGAGCCATGCTGAGGCTCTGAGACACTGGGACAAGCTAGTAAAGGACAGAGTTAAGATTCAAAGAGTGGTTGGGAGCGCACACTCTCAAGCTGGACTGCCTGGGTTCAAATGCCAGTTCTGTCACTCACTAGCTGTGTGAGAGACAGTGAATGCTGTTTAATCTCTCTGGGTCTCAGCTTCCTCTTCTGGAAAATGGGGACAATAATAATGGAGAAATAAATTAAAGTTTGTAAAGCATGTAGAACAACATCTAGCTCACTGCAAGCATTATGTAAGCATTTGTTAACTGAATAAAACATCTCAGAGTAAGGCTAAGGAAACCAATCAAAGGAGATTTAGTGAGTACCTAATATGTACAATATGTTAGACTACACAAAAGTAACTAGAGTGTTTAAAATAAAATGGAATTTCTTTAATTTGTCTAGACTATCACTATTGCACATTAGCTGAGCAAAGGAGGTATTGATTTTTTGTGGATAAAATTTCTATTTTTGTTATTCACTTTGCTTATGTCCTGTCTTCATCCCTCATTACTAAGAATAATGAACTGAGTGTCGCTTATGTTTAACTCATTGAAATCTCTAGTGAAAGACTGACAATACCAACTGTCACAGAAATCATCTTTCTTAATTCAATAACAACTAACTATAGGGCAAAAAAATCAAAAGCCTTCCACTGAATTTACTACTAAACATTGCAATGTTTCTTTCAAATTATAAGAAAGTTACTCCATACAAAAAGAAAAAAGGACACAACTCATTATTCTGGGTTTTTTTAATTTTAGATTCAGAAGGTACATGTGCAGGTTTGTTACATGGATATACAGCATGATGCTGAACACCTCATTATTTTGACATCAGGCCTTCCCCACTCTTCCTTTCTTATTACAAAAATTAATCATCATCTAATCCCCAATATTCTGAATTCAAAGAAGTGTTAAGTCACACATCAATATCAGGTCTTTACCTCTACTTTAAAAACGTATGCTTTTATAAGTGCACAGGAATAAGTGTATTTCAACTTCTAGTATATTTATACATAGCCACTGCATATACAGCAAAGTAAATTACTCTTGATTCATATTATATTTGAAAGATGTGATTATGCTTAAGTTTTTAAAACTGAAGGGAATCTATGCTTCCATTTTAATGAATACTGCTCTATATTAAAAAGTGTGGCTTCAAATAATTTTGAATACTAGAATATCTGCTATCAAAGACACAAAAACTAAAACGCACCCGCCAAGTAAAATCATCTTAACTTTTCCAGGTAATTTTCTTATACTCTCTATGAACCCATCTAATTTGACAATTTATGGCCAGTCATGTTAACATTTTCTTAGACTAGAACTGAACATGTTTAAATGATATCGTCGAATTGAAGGGCACAAACATTTTAAAAGAACACAACAAATCAAAGAAATGCAACCACAAATCAAACACTATTCAATTACTCAAATAAATAATTTTGAGTACTCCCCAAAGAAAGCTTATAGATAATATAAATAGAAAAGCTGCTTCTCAATGTTAAAAATGAATTTACTTACCTTGGCCCTCTGAGGGCAGTATTACCTAACACATAGAAATTTCAGAAAACAATCTTTACCTATCATACTAATAAAAACAAATTTCTTAAAATGAAATGGGCATATTTGCTCATTATACGTACATATTTCTTTCCTCATCATTATCTGTACCTCAGTAAGCATAATAATGCTGTTTTCAAATGTTTCCAGTGACTTTGAAAGGAAAGATTTTCTTAAAACCAAGGCATCAGGAAGGAAAATGCATGGAATCATCAGTATCACTGAAGTCATCCAAAATACAATAAAATAAAAAAGTATATAAGAATTTTACATTGCATAAATAATCTAAGTTCCTGTTTTGCTCTCTGTAGAATAATTTGTTTTTAAAAACTGCAGGACATCTAAATATACAATCTTTCAGTAAAGACAAAGTAATTTGAGGAGGATAACAATTCAGTTCCAAAGTGTCTTCTTAAAAGCAGCCAATACCAATACACTCGTTTGTTACAAATCACTCATTTATTAATGAAATATAATGCAAATGACAAATTGGCAATGTGGAGTTGAAGCACTCACTGAGTTTTCATAACTGATTCTTACACTAAGAATCTTTACATAGCATAAGGATTATCCATTCTAGAATCTAAGTCAATCAATGTACACTGGGTGTTTTATTCCTTTTGCTATTTCACAGAAAGGAAAAGTTTTCTAGCATTCACTTATCAAAGTTTTTTTTTTATATACAAAACACTGAGTAACTTACCCTATATAATCCAGTGGTATGATAGACCTTTACTTTAAGAATATAAAAAGTGCTAATCTTTATGTCAGAGTTTTACATACAAGTTAATTAGTAACTATCCAACTTTCCAGGTCCCACCACTTCTCCCATATAGAAAAAAAAAAACAAAACCTAGCATTAAAAGAAAAAAAAAAAGAGCTTCTATTGAAGGAAGATAAAAATTATTACAAGCAGGTAAACAGCAAATTTACTTTGACACAGCAAGATCTCACGTGGATGACACTGATTGCCATTTAGTAAAAATGTGTTTTATTTAGGTTTTGTATTTACTTTTTCAAAAAAGTCCTTGCTTCTATAATTCAAAGTATAGTAGTTCTCCACTCAGGAACTATGCCATTATTTAGCATAACTTTGAATAAATTAGATTTTTAAAATTTGAACTACTAAACAGTCTTATTCTTTTTAAAGTATATAATATCATGGATATTTTAAGATCATAAAAATTTAAATTCTATTTAAAATCCTTCTTTACTAAATCAAAAGGTAAAAGGAACTAGCTTAACAGTTGAACATACTACAAATTCAGGGAAGGGAATGAAGGTCATTTTATAAAATTCTTTTCTATAATAAATATATATACTTACGTTTAAATATCTCTTCAAAAAGATGCCAGGAAACAACAACTGCTGTTCTATGCGTTCTTCCTTAGAAGTATAAAATTATGAACTTTGATGCTGTGTTCCAGTCTCAAGCAAATAAGTGACTTGCTTGGCCAAAAAAATAGACAAACTTCACGATTTATGCTTTTCCTGCCTTTGTATCTTAATCATCTTCTGTTCTAAAAAGTGCTACCACGTTTACCCACATCTTTAATCAGATTTTTTTGAACTAAAACACATTAAAAAATTTAAGCCAAAACATTTAGCAAGATGCCTTAAACAATATGTCAGACAGTGAAATACTCTGTTTTCAACATACTGGCCAATATTTTTAAAAATTGCTATTCATGCAGTATTTTGATGAGGCACAATTCAAATATACATTAAAGCTAGAAGTTTCTGAAGTTTTCTGAATTATCCTGAAAATATACCAAGTACGGTTTCATTTATTTGTGAAAATGTCCTTACAGTTTCATCCTCATTTGTGATATATTTCATAGGCTATGGATATTTCCACTTCTTTGGTACTGTAAGTTGTTTTTTATAAAAAACAACAAAAATTATTTGTTTATAAATTTAGACTGTAACACTTAACTATCTGTCTAGAAATACTGGCATCCATCACCATGTGCCATTAAACATTAAAATATCCTTATATGAAGCTACTAGCACTCCATTCAAAAGTGAGCGTTATTTTTCTAGTGTAACCAATTTATTCTTTTAAACCAAAATAGAAGTTCTTAGTCACTATACCCCGTCCTATGAAAGACTCTTAAATACTAAATTAGGTGGCTCTCCCAGGTACAACAACCCTTGACTCATCATCCAAAATTATTCAGTAATATTTACTAGCGTGGAATGCCGGATGAAAACAATTTGAAAAGAAAAATGTAAAGAACCACCACCTACATCTGTATGGGAATTAATCATACTTTTAGGTTTACTGACTTCCTCATGTCGACCAAAGCCATATCCTCTTTACTTCTCTAAGAAAACACTTCTGCTTATCTCAGCACTTTCATCCCTATGTGAGCTTAATTAGTTTCTTCATCTGCAAAATAAAGAGTTGTGACAATCAAATAATGCTTTAAACCTCCATGAGGAGAAGAAATATTATTTTTAGCTAGGTGTTCCAAAGTCTCATTTTAAAGATAATAACCCAAATACAGCTTAAGTACTGGCCGTAGCAGAGAAAAGTTCAGCTCCAAAATAAACTGAGGTTACTTTTTTAAGTATGAAAAATAATTTTGTAGAACAAAATGTGAAATCAGCTGGCCAGGCACAGTGGCTCACGCCTGTAATCCCAGCACTTTGGGAGGCCAAGGCGGGTGGTTCACAAGGTCAGGAGTTACAGACAAGCCTGGCCAACAAAGTGAAACCCCGTCTCTACTAAAAATACAAAAATTAGCCAGGTGTGGTGGCACGTGCCTGTAGTCCCAGCTACTCGGGAGGCTGAGGCAGGAGAATCGCTTGAAACCCTTGAACCCAGGAGGTGGAGGTTGCAGGGAGCTCAGACCATGCCATTGCACTCCAGCCTGGGTGACGGAGTGAGACTCCATCTCAAAAACAAACAAACAAAAGAACAAAATTTGAAATCATCATCACTAAATAACCACTAATACCATACATCCGAAATACTTTTATCCAACTGTTTTCTTTATATTTTCTTTAAATAATTTATTTCCCTCCACATTTATAAAACAATCATATATCCCTAAATAAACATAAGGTTCCAAGAAACAACCTTCTATCTGTGACCATTCTCTCAAACAGCCTCTACAGCTTGGTATTCTTATTCTATGATAGTCAGAGCATTATATAAATACTCCAATTGTAATAGCTACAGAGCTCTAGACTTGCACATAACACCTAATAAAAATACTAACAGCTACTACTGAATTCATTCAAGACATTCTAAATATATTATCTCATTTTGTTTTCACAAGATCCTTGAATAGCAAGTATTGTTTCCTTCTTTCAAAAGATGAAGAAATTCACATTTAAATAGTTTAAGTGACTATGAGTAAATTCACTCATCTAAGTTAAGTGATATTTAAATCTGGTCTTTGTAACTTCAAAGACATTCTGCCTTTAATATTTCAATCACCTTAATATGTATACTTGCCTGTACTACTAAGATTTAGCAAATGGCTCTGAAAGAATCAGAAGTAACATATCATTAATAAAGCATAGACCTGCAAGTTTGCTTGTGTATAAAAGTTGGTATAAGCTTGCTTTTCCCAGTCACTCATTAATATCCTGACCACTGACAAACCATACCCTCTCACTTTAATAACAAACACCTTCTACTTAAAAAATGGCATACTGCTCGCCTCCAAACTTGGTAGGGATATTAGGATTGACTATGAAACTGTAAATACATGGACATAATCCTACACACAAATATGGATATATTCACGGCCACCTATATAAAAGAAATAAATACATGAGACAAAGGAAAAGTCAAGGTGGCTGATGATTTTCTATGCCTTTTCAGCAAACACGGATTAGAGTCACTTGAGTAAAAACTGACGGTGAGAGAGAAAGTTTTTTCTAGATAGACCTGACCTCTATTTCTTTATGAAAAGCAGAAAATAACAGATAACCTTCCTTTAATTCTTTCAGAAAGACATTACTCTGGACACGAAGCTCTGTCAGTACGTTGGCCTTTCAACCATGCTTTGGGCAATTTCTGCTTGATAATTATGCAACAAAACCTTAAATGTTTTAGGAAGGCATGAGTTCCAAAAGTCAACATAAGCACTTTTTAATTCTCCACACATATTTTTTTTTGAAATGTTAAGTCCACATTGGGCGGAAAAAAGAAAAAAGGAGAAAAGTCAGAGCTTCTCTTTTTTGTTTTCTAGTTATTCCATTCATATTGATTGGTTCTGAAATGTTACAAAAATTTTTGGTGTTCTAGAAAATAAGTAATATGGAAAATTTTTACCTAAGGTCACTGTTTCTTCTCAATTATTTAAGGTGAAAGTAATAAACCAGACATTTAAGTAAACATGCTCACTTCCATCTAAATATAAATGTTATCACAGCATTTGAAAACATTCCAGATATATCAAATCTCTAACACCTAATGTCAAGAATGTATCAGAAGGAAATATACAACCAACTCATTAATGCTTGATAAAAATGCACGCTTGTCATTTATAGAATCCATGACAACCATGAGAAAAAGAGTATGTACTGATCAAAAAGGCCAGGTTACTATATAACTTTGTTTCACAACTAACGACATTTAAGTTCAAAGTATTATGGAATTACTTACAAAATAAACTGGGTACTCTCTACCTCACCCCTAGTGGTAGGCTATGAAACAAATCGATTCAGTTTAAAATAGTTTATGTGCCGACTAGTGTTAAAACGTTCATGTATGCATTAAGATCACACCAAATCACCTGACTGATTCCTTCATCAAAAGCTCCTCTTGGCAGTTAGCAGTACACACCTAACATTAGCCAAACAGGTTATCTACCATCAACACGGAGAAATAAGAAACTTTGTATTGCCATTTAAAGAAGTTGCTTTCTAAAACTAGACATGAATAAGGGAGAGAAGAGGAAGTATTAAACCCCTAAACTAATTAACGAAATAAGGGAGGGGGGATGCAGGAAAACAATGATAATTAGTATGTACCCTTGGTTAACCAAATCCACACATACATTCATTCTGTATATGCACAAACATCAGCAGCATCATAAACCGTCTCAAGTTCTAGCCATTATTCAGTTCGACATCTGCACATGTTTATGCGTCTCTCCAAACAACCTCTTGAACACCCTGCTGGAGCTGTCATTTTTTTCTTCTCCCTATCTGGCAGATGGCAAGTCAACAATCGGCATCAACAGCAGCCGAATATCTCCCCCTCCATCCTACCCCCCTAAACAGACACAATAATAACTTCTTTGTGCTTCCCTACAATGCAGCTGCTTAAACCATTTCGCTACAAGGCTGCTTTGCCTTAATAAAAAAAAAAAAAAAAAAAAAAAAAAAATCCCTTCTGTCAAGTCTAAAAAGCAGCATAATGTTAAGCAAGCTAAAGCCACAGCACAGCTGCAAACGGGCAGACACATTGACAGCTCCTCCCTTAACAAAGCCCTGTGAATTGAAGGGGGTTCATCTGAGGCTCACACAGTAATTAGTATAAAAAAGTCCGACAGCCTCTATTATGCTAAGGGAAAAAAAAACTGGACAGAACTGGGCTGCTGTTTTGCGTCAAGAGTTCTGCTGCAGAGTAGATAAATCATGTTGGGTTTTTTCCTCTCTTTTTAAAGACAGTAATAAGGAGGATGAGAGAAGCTAATTTGAAAACTTGGACACAGTAATTGTACCATATGGTGAGCATTTATCCTTTCTGAAATGCACGCTAACAGTCACTTACATGCACACTGCTTTGTTTTACAGTTGTTATTCTCTCTACCATATTCATAAAATGGATTTGAATATCTGATACTCAAGATAAGTTGTGTGTAATTAGCAAGAGAACTGCCTAGGTTTAATTTATTGGCCTTGCACTGCAATCTAGTAAAATGCAAAACAAAATTAAACAATGTGTCCACTTTGTACAGATATTTTTTCTTTAACTCAACAAAACACTAATGAATACAAGTTCATTGGAGTGTTTCTAAGTTAAGGCACAGTGTATTTTGAAAATTCCAACAGAATAAACTATAGCTGTTGATAAGATTTCTGATATGTCACCATAAGAATAATTTTTCAGAAAGATCACCTGGTTTAATTTTGTATTTCACTGAAGCAGATGTAACTCTTCCTCATATACATCAGTAAACCTAGATGCAAGAGAAATTTCCTTGCATATGTCCTAAAAATTTTAGGAAAAGAAATTCTGTCATTTATTAAATAGTTATTAAGTACTCTGTGCCAAGCACCTATCTGGCACGGGGAGGAGAATATAGAAAAGCTTTCACATTTTTTTTAAATCTAAACATAAATTGACTTATTTTGTCTACTTCAAAATTCTATAAAAATCTACTATTTGAAGAAAGACTTTAATAACACTAATAGTACACTGGTTATCATGGCACAATATATATCAAAATATATAGGGAACAAGATTAGTTTAATCAGAAGTAAATTCACTGTAATGACATCTGTGTGACCCTTTTAGGTAAAATATTCTGTGTTTACTCAATATAAACTATGTTCTAAAACTGACATACTCAACTAGAACTCATATGAATCCTTTAAATTTCAAGTGGAGTAAAATCACTGGTTTGAATTTCTACAGCATCCATTTGACCACAAGTATCCTTCTGATCAATATTTTGGGGACATGAAGAAGCAGAATATTTTAAGGTATTGTTAGTTCAAGACAGAACTAAGAGTCCCTACTAAAGCTTGAAGTAATCTGTCTTTAGAAGAAAGACTGTGACTCCACCCAGGAAATTGGGCATAATTACATTAAGAAGGAATGGCTTCATCCAGAAAGTACCACTAATAATTTTCTACAATAAATCTCCATTTTGGCTTAACAGAAATAAACTTGGTCACCCACTACTAGTATAGTGGCTTCCCTTTATGCTACTGGTATTGGGCCATATGACCAATTTACACCTTGGATAAAAATATTCACTTTTGTATACTGCTTTACAGTTTACCAAATATTTTTAAATATTAACATGGGTCTTAAAAGTTCATTATACTGGGCCGACTTTGGTTTCGACATAGACAGATGTTTTGATTGAGAAATATGTGACCAACAACAGAAGTCTGATTCTGCATACTTTCAAACTGGGTGAATCCTACTGTATTAACAATGTCATGATACTATCTGGTGTTAAACAAAAAATGGGATCATTCTCTACAAAGTGGAGAGAGATCATTCTTTTTCTAAAAATCTGCAGAAAAACATTACATAATAACTCTTCTTGTTAAATAAACGAGGGAAAGAAAAAAAGTATTTTTAGAAGAGAAACTTTTCATTATTTTGAAAACAGGTTCAAAGGTGTTACCAAATGACTTATCTTTTTATCACATATGAATAAAAAGCCATTCTTAGTGGAGAAAAAAAAATTGTTTCCATTTAGGAAAATCAAGTTGAGGATATGTGTGTACACTGAATACTCCATTTAGTGATAATACTTAGGGTAAATGGGATGTGAATATAAGATCTGAAAATTTAACAGAATAATGATGGCTTTGTCCAGGAAAGGTGTTGTTACACCATTTGATCAAAAGTTTTTCTTAGTTAAGTCTGTCAACAATTTCTGAACTACCTGAAACCATTTTGATTATATCAATGACAACACTGCAGAAAAATTTGTCTGTAAGGAAAAATTAAGACTGTTTTAAAAGCTTCTAATAAGAAATATTTGCCAAGAATACATGATTTTTAAGAAGAATTCTTCTTCATATAATCACAATTCTGATATCCTTTACCTAAAGGGGAATAGGGATAATTAAATTAGAACAAAGCTGTAAGAAAATGTTCATAAATAAGAATTACAGAACCAAATGATCCTAGTGGGTCTGGTAAACATTCTCATTTTTATTTACCTACGTTGCATCTTTTAAGAGCTCATATCTGCCACAAAAGTAACAAGTTGCTGTTTTCTTATTAAATGTGAATAATTTCTCATAAGATCTAGCAGGTACCAAATACAATTTAATTTATAATGTATGGGGTATTATTAAATACTTGCAAATATTAAGTCAAAGACTGACATACCACTAAGAAAATAATGCAGTGGTCTATTGATACACTAACAATGATGGCAAAACCTAATCCAAGACTTTGGGATGCAAAAAACCTAACATATGGATATGGACTTCCTCAGCAGAAATTCGAGTAATGCATAGTTTAAAACAAACTCTTCATTTCTATAATAAACACAAATCAAGCAATGAGAATACCTAACATAGAATTTTAAATTCAGAAAGACAAGAAATTAAAAAGGATTACTTCATATTTTATAATGATGTTGTGGAAAAAAGAACGAAAAGAGGAGAGGTCATGTCTAGAATAGTATTCAGAAGCAGGCCTCAGCCAAATATTTACCCCTGATACTTGTCTTTAACCTTAGTGCTCTATTAGAACTCTTTCAGTTACAAGGAACAAAGATCCACTGAAGCTAACACAAGTAAAAATGGGTCATTCTAATAATACTAACACTTCATCCAAAGAATACAGGTAGCCCTTTTGCAAGTAAGATCTGGAAGGTGATTAAATCACTTTCTTTTATCTTCTTCAGGGATTGTGTCAAGTCTGGCTTCTGTCCCTGGTCTCTCTCCCATTCCCCTCCCAGGCCTGGATGGATCTCAGTCTGTCTGCTCCATCTTCCACACTCTACCCACCAGCTCCTTAGCTCACTCAGAAGTTTTTTTCCTTCATAAACTCAGCTTGCTGCTACCTCTTCCAGGCAATGCTACCCATGACACATAATACATTAAAGAATGTGGTTTAGTGTTACTTTAGAAATGTTTAAGTAACTTCCATATAATTTCAATTTGTATTAAAGTCTTTTAGTATACTAGGTAATCGAAATGTCTTCCCAAGAGTCATACCCAGTGGCTTTTAAATTGTGGGTCAAGATTTTTAATTTTCAAGGACTAGGTAGTATCAAAAATACTGGAAGCACTGGCAGACTCCACCTGATAAACAGGCTGGGTTCCAATGGTCATTGTCAGAGATTTAAAATTTAGTTTATCATTTTAAAAAATTATTAATACAAATGGTAACTAGTTCCCACATGTCATTAGTTAAAAAAGCACTGTATAACTACTACTTGCTACTTTAATATTTGCTTTCATTCTCCTTACTTCATATGAGAGACAAGTCAGATATTAATATTACCATCAGTATTCTATGCTCAAGAGTTTCAAAGCTATAAGCACCTGATTAAAGAATGAGACACTGAGCACCCTATCATTGGACGGCCACATATCAAAGATGTTATAAAAGAAATTTGAGTTCTGAGTTAAAGGTGGTATCAAACTGCCCCATAGGTTACTTTTAACACCAAGATTCTAGTATATTGGTGATTTTACAGATTAGGAAACCAAGATTTCAAGTTAAGACACATGTTATTGAACTAGTTCTTTTGACTTCAAGTCCAGCTAATTTCGATCATAAAACATACATTGTACATTATACTTGTAAGAAATCCTGGAATCTCAAATTCCTTTTAACAGTACTTTTATTTTTAAAATAAATTATAAGTTAGAATCCAGTTATGCTGAATATGCAACATTTCTATGATTACACCCATTAAAGTATGCAAATAAGAGTAAGGTCAAAGAAGAGAGCTACATTCATTTTACATTGGATGCTATGCATAAGAAAACAGAGGACCTTTCCTTTTCAAGTAGAGTAGCAATTGCTCCTAAAACACCACCCAAGGCTCAGCTGAGGTGGTCTCTTACCATTTGTTTAGAAGGGAATCTGATCTGTAGCTGAAGCAATTATGAACAGGAGGTAAGAAAATCCCCATGTCTTATAACCATTTCCAACATACACACAACTGGGGACATGGATGTCCACAAGCCAACGATTGTATGCATTCTCTGTATCGTTACTTACATAGGAGATGAAAATTGGAAACATCAAGTGAGTCATGTAGTGTATTTTTAATTTATAATTATTAAATCTTCACTTTAAAGTTTTTTTTAAAAAAAAGCTATCTAAAGCCACAAACATTTTACCTATCTACTGTTTTGTTTTGTTTTTTTTCAGACAGTCTCTCTCTGTCGCCAAGGCTGGAGTGCAGTGGCATGATCTTGGCTCACTGCGATCTCTGCCTCCTGGATTCAAGTGATTCTCCTGCCTCAGCCTCCCGAGGCTGCTACCCTTACAGCTGGGATTACAGGCCCTCACCACCACGCCTGGATAATTTTCTTTTTTGTATTTTTTTTTTCAGTAGAGACGGGGTTTCACCGTGTTAGCCAGGATGGTCTCGATCTCCTGACCTCGTGATCTGCCCGCCTCGGCCTCCCAAAGTGCTGGGATTACAGGCATGAGCCACCGCACCCAGCCTCAGCTTCAATTATGAAGAGTAAATGCTAGCAAAATGAATTGATGAATTTTTTCTTTTTAAATATTCTATCCAATATTTTGCATGTCCAAAACACAAGGTAAATTTCACCTATATTTAGGTGTTGTAGAAGTCCAACAAACTGGATTTCATATATGCACAAAACAAGCCATAATCCAATTATTTTCATGGGATAAGTCATTCCCTAAGGGGATAATTCCCTTAGGGATAATTCCCCTAAGGGAATGACTCATTAGGGAAATTATTCAAGTAATGAATCTAACTCCCAGCAAACAAGATATATAAGGTATGCAGTTCTATTCATTTAAACATTCCACCTTTTTCTGAGTATCACATATGTCAAGACAGTCATTGCAAAAACATTTGCAAGCTGCATGTGGAATGTGGCAAAATTCCTTTTTAAAAAAACCGATAGTGTTTAAATCCTATCCCAACTCTCAGAGACTTTTCTTATTTCATAATGCCCCCCTACTCCTACAACTCCCAAAATTACTCTAATTTATTCACATAACTCTCTGCTAACTTTAAGTTTTTTGTATCAATTCCCTAACAAAACATTCCAAATTGTTCTATCTTTTATTCATCTCATCGAGTTCCACACCAAGTCTTCCTCCAACTGGAGTCACACCCCAATTTCTCACTCCTCAGTTCAACTTTAGTTTTCCTGACTACCAATTCCAATTGCTAAGAAATGAGAAGTATATTTTGAGTAAACTAAATTACATACTCAAATCACTGTTGAGTGTATCAGTGAAGGTAATGCTGGCTGCTGAGAGAGGTAAATCATGACAACTTAGTGCTTTACTACAATGAAAGTTTTGTTTCTGGCTCATGTAAGGTCAAAACAATGTTTCCTTTCAATGGCAGTGACTGAAGGACCTAGAATCCTCCCTTTTAGAGGCTCTTCCATCTCCTTGGTTTCATGACTGCCATCAGAAGGGAAGAGAGAAAGAACACTGAACACAGATGTTCATGACCCAAGCCTAGAGGAGGCATGCGTTAATTCTGCTCACATGTGAGTGGCCAGAACTCAGTCGTATGGCCACACCTAACTCCAAGACAGCTGCAAAAAACAGTCTAGATTGGTGCTAGGGCAGAGTAGGTGTATTACGCGCAAACGGATTTGGCCAATCTCTGCTACACTGAACATCTCTTGTATGTTCTTAAATACTTACTTAATAACCTTGGTGTTAAGAGAGAGACATAAGAAATGAAAGCAACTGTATATCTAAAAATGGTGGCCGGGCGCGGTGCCTCACACCTGTAATCCCAGCACTCTGGAAGGCTGTGGTGGGCAGATCACCTGAGATCAGGAGGTCAAGACCAGCCTGACCCCATCTCTACTAAAAATACAAAATTGCCCGGAGAATGGTGGCACATGCCTGTAATCCCAGCAACTCGGGAGGCTGAGGCAGGAGAATCACTTGAACCCAGGAGGTGAGGGTGCAGTGAGCCAAGACCGTGCCATTGCACTCCAGCCTGGGCAACAAGAACAAAACTCAAACTCAAAAAAAATTAAAAATAAAATAAAAATAAAAATGGTTAAAAATGGTTAAAATGGTAAATTTCATGTTACATATATTTTTGCCAAAATAAAAAGGATCTTAAAATCTTTTTGATGAGACCAAAAGACATAGTAAAAAAAAAAAAAAAAAAAAAAGTTCTAAATCAAACATGAGCAAATGTCAAAATATAATTAAAAGCTAAGTATAATATAATCTTCATGTGTTTTATCAATACTACATAGAGTTCTATGATTTTTATCATAAATAGGATCTCAGCCTGACTTGGCCTGTCTGCTCTGGTCTAAAAGATGTGAGGAGAAAAAAAGAGACTTGTTAATATCATAATATTATCTTAAACCAGTAATTCGAATAAAGAGATCTCCTCAAATATTAGTATCTTAAAATTATAAAGTAGATAAATATTAAGGGTTAATACAATTTGGAGCCAATCAAAATGCAATAATCTCTTGTCCTTTTCCTTTTATTTTTTACGTATTCCCAGATGGTCCAACTATTCCGAAAAGCTCACGGTATATACTCTTGAGAAAATAAGCATGTAAAGCATTCTTTTAAAGTACTTGCCACACCATATTCTACTGGCAAATAGGGCTAATGCTGGAGCTCAGAAAACAATACTCCAAAATATGGCACTTCAGCACACAAAGTACTTTGCACTGGAAGGTATCAGAAGCAGCCTCAGAACCTGGATCTCTCTCATCTTCTCCTGCCCTCCTGTCTCTTGCCCCTCATTCTCCCCCAAAGCAAGTACAGACACCAGAATTCCTCCTCACCAAAGCAGATAATAAAGACTAGATCTCTCTTCTCCAAAGCCAGCCATAAAAACTACAATTACTACTCTAACCTTCCCCTCACCTTTCTGTCTAGGAACTGGCCTAGACAGAAATTCTGTCTAGAAATTCTCTGACCTACCCTTGTCCCAATAATATAGGTCATAAGACCCTCATCAGAGGGGTCCTGTCCCATACCTGGGAGGAAGAAACATTACAAGAGAGAGGCCAAGAAGAATCTGAACAGACAGGTCTTGGTGAGTTTTTATATGCAGTCTATTAATATTAGATCATAACCTTTTTGTCCAGTCCTATTTCTACATAGCTGTCCATTTTTCACTGAACCTAAGCACTGAAAAATGGATAGTTGTCCCATATGTTTGGGGTCTTCACTCTGAAGGCTCCTGTGTCATGTAAAACTATAATTAAACAGATTTGTTATGCTTTTCTCTTATTACTCTGTATTTTGTTATAGGAGTGTTGGCCATAACCCTTATGATGGGGAGGAAAGGGATCATTCCCTTTCCACTACTATACTACCAAATATAAACTAGTAGTACCCTTATAATTCTTATATTTTCTTACTATTTTTTACATAATGGAGAGAAAAAGGAGTTAATAACCCTGGGAAATTTACTATGCCAATGTAATCCTACCTACTTTTAGAAGGTATCAAAATATTTGTAGAATTAAAAGAATGCCACTGCTAAAAGGAAACAAATTTGTGTAGTATTAGATAACACTCCTGTTGCTTCCAGGCAAGGCACATCAGAGGTGAGATTACCCTACAGATAACTTTTTTAAGAAAAGATATAAGTAACCTAGGTATTATAATTTTCTAGATAACTTTTAAGTAACATAGACGTTATAATAATTTTCAACTTTTATAGCAGATTTAAATTTCTACATATTATATAACAAAATCTCTAAAGGAGCCAAGCATAAGACATTCCAAATAATTTCCAAACACATTTTGGCTATGAATACATTTCAGTTTTACAGTCATTAAAATTTACACAGCTTAGCAGGTCACAGCAGGTGTTACGTTATTCTCACGAACAAAAGTTTAACATTAAGAACAATTCATATATTTTGACACATCTGCTATATATATTCGTGTTGCAAGGACTAGACTGCGAGCTTAAGGTTTTATTATATTATGCTTACATTTGAACTGGTTATCATAAAAAAGAAACATTATACTATAAAACTTCAGAGAAAAAGATATACATTAAAATAGCAACAACCTAAATTTACTCTATAATATAAAGTTCCATCAAAGCAGCTCCATCTAAATGTTAACATGTCTAAATATTCTGTGCATGCTTCTGAGTACATGCATATGAATAAAATGCTAAGGGGAAAACAACATAATTGCCAAAATTTGTTTTATAAAAGGCATTTCCCCCATCACATAACTTCACCATTTCTAGTAATCATCACACCCCCAGACCAAAGCACGAAGTTAAAGAAGGCCCTTATAATACACATAAAAAGTCAACAACTTCCTTCAGACTAAGAAGAACAAATTCTAAACTAGAGAACCCTGGATGAGAATGACCTGCCCAATCCCCACTGAAAAAGATGGAAAATTTTTTCCTAAATGGAGAGAATCACATAATGATTCATGTCTTCAATAAAACATCAACTAACTCAGAAAAAGAAATACCATGGCAAATTATACCTCAAATATTATATTAGACATGAGCAATGTAAAAACAACTATCACCGTAAGAACCCTGTCTAGGAAGCAATTAATCTTTCTCAAGAAATGCAGTAAGTCTGGGCACCCATTTTCAAAATTATCAAGGCCACTTTTCATTTAAACATTAACATTTATTATTTTCATTTAAAATGTTCAATGTGAAATTGTTAATATGTTAATATGTGTTTTAATACATTAGTTTACAAGTAATAATAAGGTCTGAAAAACAATTTATAAAAATGACTATATGCTGTTATGCTCAAAATAAATCATAAACATTTTTCCCAGCTCACACCAGGCCCTTTATCTGAGGGATTATTACAAAGCAACTAAAAACTCAATCACAATATAACGAAAATAATGTTAGCTGGCATAGGAGAGTGTTTTGAAGTGCTTTCTGAATACCTCAGTCTCACACTCAAATCAGGAGCATCTGTCCACCAACTGTCAAGATAACGTCTAGCCTAGGAGTTTTCCTGAATTCATCACTATTCATAGATGCCTGTCACTATTCAGAAAAAGAAGAAAGAAAGAGCCATACTTTCAAAGCTATTTTCTTTTTCTATATGTCCTAGTAGAGGTGAATATAGAATTTATCACTTTGAAGCCAATGTAGTCTGAATCAACCGGTCCTCCATCTCCAGATCTAAGAATGCAAGTTAAATGTTCTCTAGAAATTATAGATAATTCACTATGTCATATTAATACTTCTCACTTATATTACTACTGATTGAAGGATCTGATCCCTAGACTCAAAGCCATTACCTCACCATTACTTTCACAACTAGAAAGTACAATCCAGCCACCAACCCCTATGGAAAATGGCACAATCAAGAGTAAAGTGTTTCCACTGACGCCAAGCACTGTGATTCATGCATGTAATCTCAGCACTTTGGGAGGCCAAGGTGGGAGGGCTTGAGGACATCATATGAGTTTGAGACTTGGGTAGAGATCCTGTCTCTACAAAAAATACAAAAAAAAATTAGCCAAGCATAGTGGAACCTGCCAGCAGTTCCAGCTACTTGGGAGTCTGAGGTGGAAGATCACTTGAGCACAGGAAGTGGAGGATACAGTGAGCCATAATGCACCAGTGCACTCCAGCCTGAGAGACAGAGTAATATCTGTCTGGGGAAAAAAAGGTGTTTTCATTGGCTTCGTTTTAGATGCTGCTGCAAAATTCAAGTTAAAGCTGTCTCTCTCAAGAAACTTCATTTAAAATGCATTCCTATGAAATTTATATCCTTATTTTCCGAGTCAGAAACAACAAATTTCATTTTATAACAAACATAAATAATCCTCAAAGTATTCAGAAATGCTTTTCTGAGCCACTGTAACAATGCTGTGTGATACAGGAGAGGAAAACAAGACTGTCATCCCTGCAGTCCTCAAAAGAAAAAGTTAACACCAAACAAACAAGATAATACAAGGTAGGCCAAAATCTAGAAAAATTGAGGGGAAAAAAAAAAAAAAGAATCCAGAAAAAGGTAAAACTACCCGTTACTGAGTATGCAGTTGTACCATTTTCTACTTTACATACTAACTAGTTCAGTCAGTAATATCTCTATTTTTAGTTCCTTAAACCTACATACATTAGAGAACTATTAGGTGAGCAAATCAGTAATCAAGACCAAAAACAGAGAATCAATAAGGAATTTAGTTTTCAAAAGCATATTTTTTTCAAATGCAAAAGTAAGGAATTTTTTCCTACATTATAAGACTTATGGTATCTTAATGTTTATTTATTTCCATAATAATTTAAGGGAATGAATCTTCAGTTTTTGTGTAAATATGACTTACCATGGCACTTAATACAAATGCATCCATCTTCTGGGATCCAGACCCACAAGTTCTAATTTCATTTTCTGGAAAACTACACTTTTACCAAGGATTAAGGGGGTTCTAATACAGGTGGACTATTGCCCTCCCTTTAAGAAATACTAATTTAAGAGCTCAGTATCTCCTGGGAGAAAAAACTGAATTTTAAACTAAAATCATTCTTAAATCATTCAGATCTCTGGCCAACAAAATACTTTCCAGTTTCTGAGGGAAAAAAGATGAAGAAAAGGCAACTATTGTTATAAAATATCCTACAATATAGAAGAAAAATCAGGTACACAAGAAACAAAAGTAGGGTTGGGCACAGTGGCTCACACCTATAATCCCAGAACTTTGGGAGGCTGAGGTAGGAGGATCACTTGAGGCCAGGAGTCCAGGACCAGCCTCGGCAACATAGCAAGACCTTGTCTAGACCAAAAAAAAAAAAAAATTAAATTAGCCTGGCATGATGATGCATGCCCGTAGTTCTAGCTACTCGGGAGGTTAGCTTGAGCCCAGGAGTTTGAGGATGCAGTGAGCTATGATAAGGCCACTGCATTCCAGCCTCAGAGACAGAGCGAGCCTTGTCTTTAAAGAAAAAAAAAAAGAGAAAAAGAAATGAAACTGCAATAAGGGCAGTAAGAAAAGTTCTGGAAAGTGTTGACAGTTTCAGAAGGAAGAGTTTACTTTCAAATGGTGACAAGGGAAGACAAGATACAAGAGGTGAAACTTGAGCTATAACTTGAAGGGTTGATGAGTAGGACTTCACCAGTGACTAGAGTGAGTGAAGTATTCCATGGGGGCACTGTGCTATCTGCAAAGATGCAGGAAAAAAAATTATAACACCACTCTCCAGGAATATGTGACCAATCTAGCAGAATAACAGAACAGAACTCAGCCTTTTTTGTGTCTCTACTTCAGAGACAAGAATAATATACTCCAGCAGTAACACTGCTCACTGCATACGGAGATTTGCAAGGGTTAAGGGTCGGGGGCATAACCACAGAAATAAGGTCCTTGTGACAACTAAATAAGATAAAATATTATATTTAAGATCATTACATTCCTTTTGAAGGTCACTTTGACTACTTCAATATACAGTTCAAATATATTTAATTCTTCCAAAATACCATTGCCAAAAAAAATTAGTGAAAAGTGGTAACTGGCTTATATAATTTCGACGATTTAATGAAAACAATACATATGCCACATATACATGGCTAAAAGATGTCACAGTTGATTCAAAATGGATAAGCAATATATATGTTGTTACAATTTTCAAAGTAATAGCTAAAAAGTACACACAGAAAGGTGTTTATACACATTCACTCATCTATCTGGCACTTCGTAGAAGACTAGGAAAGCTACTGGCCTTTTTAAAAGGTTAGTTCTCATAAAGGCCTAGTGCAGGCAGCTCTGGAATTTCATGCCTCCAACATTAATGTCTGGAATTTCATACCTCCAACATTAATGTCTAGTATGCTGGTGGGTGCTACTCATCTTTTCAAATCTGTTTTAATTATTCTGTTGCTGGGCATTTTAACAGATCTTAAGTTTGATAAATTTAGAATTCCAACTGGAGGTTAACCCACGCCCCAATATGTAAGCCAAATCCATTTCAATTATTTACGAAAGGCAGATAATATCAGAACAAGACTGATTATTTAGGTATTAAAGGATGTATAAGTAAATTCCAGTGGTGAAATCTGGAAAAATTATCTGGATGAAGAGTCAGGTGTTTTTTAACGTGTGGGAAAAAGTTGTGGGGTTAATATTATTTGATCTGCTTACTAAATATAAAAATATTTTACACCTATAAAGTGAACTCAATTAATGCAGGGAACAATCTAAAATATGGCAAATATTTAATATGGTTGTTTGGTAATATTTAAGTTCAGTTTCTATAACTTACAACAGGTAAATTCTCAAAAGAAGTTGTCAATTTTCTGAAAATCTCAGTCTGTGGTTGCTCAACTTAGCAACCAATATTCTCTTTTTCAACCCAAAAGAAAGTTAACATTTATCTATGAACAAGCACTCAGTCCCACAGCCATGAGAGTTGTCAAAATAACAGGAAGAAAAATGGACCAAGGATATATAAAGCTGAAAATGGGTCAGAATGCTCAAATTAAGAATCAAACTTATGTTTTTATTTTTCTTGCTTTTTCTTGCAAGCCAGGGCATCCTCATGAAAAAACAGGTAAGAATTTGGCAAGAATAGGGATAGAAAGCAAAAAGAAACTTGTTTTCCCAAACATCTGGCATCCTTCAACAAACTCTGGCAATGAAAAGTCAAAGCAAAGCAGATAAGATTCTGCCAATCACCTTCTACTTAGGCAGTGGCAATAGGTGGCCTAGCCAAGGCTCCCTGCCTGAGCTGAGAAGAGATGTCAGTATTGTGGTAAAGCCCACCTCCTTGGTCTTCAACAGATTCCTTCCATACCCCCAGGTTATGACAGAAAATGAGCAATTCACACAAGCATAAATGTGAAACATTAACATTTAAAAGGAGCCTAACCTACATAATAAGTGCTGAGGCTGAATACACATTGTGGGTCAAAATCAGGACAAGGCAGCTCAACATGGCATCTGTTAAGGGAAGAAAAATAAAGGGCAGACAAAAGACAACATTTAATCCTAGGTTCAACCTTCATAAATCAGCATACAATACCAAAAGTAAGTTAGTTGATTGATTGATTGATTGATTGAGACAGGGTCTTGCTCTGTTGCCCAGGCTGGAGTGCGATGGTACAATCTCAGCTCAACACAGCCTTGACCTCCTGACTCAAGCAATCCTCCCAAGTAGCTGGGACTTCAGGCATGCACTACCATGCGTGGCTAATTTTGTTCACTTTTTGTGGAGATAGGGTCTTGCTATGTTGCCCAGGAAGGTCTAGAACTCTTGGCCTCAAATGATCCTCCCACCTCAGCCTCCCAAATTGCCAGGATTACAGGTGTCAGCCACTGCTCCCAGCCCCAAAAGTTTATTATTATAAGGACTCTTACTCTTCATTGTAATTTATAGGCTGAAATTGCAAAACTGAAAACCCTATTCTTGCAACAATAACTTGAGGTATTTAGAACTCATGACACCAAGTTTCACATCCTCTTTCTTAAGTCTGCAGAAAAGGAACCTCCATCCTTATAGTTCAAAGTCTTTCTAGCAAAGAAAAAAAGAGAACCAAGAAAAAAAAGCATCATAACTATTTTGTAAGTATCAAACTAAAAAATTTGATATAATCTTAGTTTAAAAAAATAATTATAACACTGATTTGATATTTAGGCATAGAGGGATGTTGGTGTTTTATAAGAATTGACCTGACTATAAGCAGCACTCAGCTACATCTCTCAAAAATAAGGGAAAGCCATTTTAAGAGCTTGAAGTAGTATGTTGTAGTCCTATGACATTAATAGTTTAACAGAAACCACATACAACTTGAAGACTAAAACTATCAACTCCCTAAACAACTCACAGTGTACGTTAACATGACTTGACTATTCAGGGAGAGCCTCACCCTGGCAAACGGTTTGATTGTTCATCACAGCAAACTCCTGAAACACGCATCAACGATTCAATAGAAAGCCCCAACAGTATGTAAGATTTTTTGAATCCCTTGCTGTTGCATAATGGTCATCATCCAATTTTAATCAAACACACACACACACCCAGTATTCACTCAACCTCAACCAAACTTTGATTCTCAGTACATACTATCCTTGCTTTCTTCCCTCCAAGAAACCGCCAAAGTTCTAACCAGGTGGTGTACTCCCTTTCTGTGACAGGCAATAAACTCTATCTATAGGTTGTGAGGGAGACACTTGGGCAGCCAGCACTTGATACTATGCCAGCTGTAAGTTTTAATCATTCAGGAATATAGTGCAAAGAGTACTGTGAACTTATGGTGTGCTAATGCATCATACTAGCAATTGTGAATTTAGATCATAAACCTTTGTATTTCACCTAAAACTTTATGGGAACAGATAGGACAGGACAGGCAATCCCAATGCTTTTGTAGAAAAACTGTCTGGTCATATGCTGTCAGTTCTTCACGATTTCAAAGAATAACCACTTGAAAGAAAATTTTCAAAAATCTAAAGACTTAATAAAACTAAGATCAATGAGTTTTAAAGTACGTGTCATTAAAAGCACAAACTCATTTGCAGTCTATGGACTCTAAGGCAAGAGTCATATGCCAGACATCCCAGAAGAGGTAAAAAGTTATTAGAGACAAAAAGGACTTCAGGGAAACTTAGTTTTTCCTTAGGGAAAGGAGTCCTCCATGGAGTCACATGGCCCTCCAATAAGTAGGCATCAGGTAGTGTATCAAGAACTGATACAAGATCAGAAAGGAAGAGCCAATGAGTTAGGAGAAACCAAGGTTGGGTTTCAAGAATTGAGTTGCTACTTGTGCTGAATGATATTAAGAGATGGAGAAAAAGAAAGAGAAAAATGTTCACGCGGATGTCAATGATTTTTACTAGACTCTTCAGAGGAGTAAGAAATCCAAATAAACTAGAGTTTAGGGCAGAAAATTAACTACAAGGTGAGAATATGAAAGATGCCAGTGTGGACAAACCATGCAATAAAATTTTATTAAAAGAGAAGCAGAAATAGAGGCAGTAGCAGAATGGGAAGCAATATGTCAAGAGGGGGCTTTTCTTTTTAGGATGGAAGATACTATTGCACCTTTATATGCCGGTGTGAATGATAAAGCAGAGAGGGAGAGACTGGTAATACAAGAGAGGTAATGATTTGAGATTTTGAAAAGATTAAAAGGGTGGAATTCAAAATACTAGTGAAAATAAGAGCATATGCACTGAGTTTAAAGCATGAGAATATGGTGAGAACATAAATGGGTACAGCCTTTCCAGGAAAAAAATCAAGTACCTCATAGATTATAAAGAGACATGAAAGTAACCATATCCTTTGAGCCAGTAATTTCACTCATAAAAATCTACCTTAAAAAAAGATCTGAAATCTATCTTAACTGTCTAATGATCAGGGAGAACTGTTAGGTAAATAATTATAAAATGCTATTAAAAGTCCTTAATGATATGGGAAAACGTTCATAATATTAAGAGAAAAAAAGCAAGATATAAAATTCCAAATGTTGTATTTTAAAAATAAAAATATGTGCATAGACAAAAGATTAAGGAGACATAAAATATTAGTAATATCTCTGGACAATAAATGATAGATTACAGTGTTCTTCTTTATGTATATTTTTCATTTTCCCTAATAAGAATGGGTCACTTTATTACCAGAATAATTTACTTTCATCTTGCCTGTATTTTCCAAGTCTCTCTACTGACACCTTCCTAACAGCTTTAAATATTTGTGTATTTCAGAAATAAAATTGTGATAGTGGCAGGAGGCAGACAAATTCCTAGGCAGATTGGGACAGGTCCCCAGTGAAACCCAACCTTCAGGGCACACACAGCATGAAGCCTGAAAACCTGGCTGCTCCTTCTAGCTGGAATCCACAACCTGGAGGGAGAATTTCCTTTACGCCTTTCAGCCAATGAAATGGTGTTTTTTCCAGGTCCACCCATGGACCACTCAGCACGCACTTCCTCCTGCCCAGGGACCAATCAGCACACACTTCCTCCATTTTGAGCCCATAAAAACCCCAGCTTCAGCTGGACTCAAGGTAAGTAAGGACTACCCTTAGGAGCTGCCCGCTTTGGGTCTCCTCTCTGCTGAGCTGTTCTGCTACTCAGTAAAACTTCTCCACCTTGCTCACCTTCCAGTTGTCCACGTAACCTCATTCTTCCTGGACAAAGGACCAGAATTCGGGACCCACCCAACAGTGGGCATGAAAAGGGCTGCAACACTTTCCTGGCCAACTCACCAAACTGTGGTGGTGACATGCTCCCATTTGCTGGACTGCAGGAGTGAAAAGCAGTGACACTTCTGGGGGCCGAGACATCAGGATTTCCCAAGCCAGGGCTGTAACACTATAGCCTTCCTGCCTTCTGCCTGCATTGGGCAGCTGCCCCATGTGACAGGAAGTGGCAGTGGAGCTGGGCCAGCCTGGGAGCCGCCGGCTGGGGTGAGGTGGTGGGACTGAACAAGCTGAAACCTGCTCCCCCTGCTCGCCGAGCCGCGGGTGGAGAGAATGAGAGAGCACGCCTGACCCACTCCTTGAGGCTCTGCAGTTGCTGGCGTCCCCAAGTTTTTAGGTGCCACCGCATCCCCCTTTTCCAGACACCAGCACCTGCACCAGAAACTACGTGTGGTACGCCTGCTCCAGCTGCAGCCTGGCAAGGAGCCGGCACCTCTGCCAGCACCCAGAGCTGCCTGCCCCACCACAGCTGGCCGGACCCTGTGTTAGCTCTCTCACACACCCTTCAGTGCTCTGAGCCTGGTTTGCCCTCATCAGGCGTGGGATCCGGGTTGGGCGAACTGAGTGCAGCCTGCCGGGCTGAGTGGGTGGAACGAGCACAGTGGGAGTGAGTGAAACTCAAGCAGGGGCGCCACAGGCCACAATGGTTCCCGGCTGGCAGAGTGACACCTGAAGGATCCCGTGACATTTCGATTATTTCTGCTCATAGCATAAACTCTTATATGTAAGTATCTACCACATGCCAAAATGAAAGCAAAAAATATATATAATAGCCTGCTGTAGATATATATTATGTTGTTGTAGCAGCTCATGTTTTCTACCATCCATACGTTTAAGATAAATGGCATGCAATATCACCAATAATAAGGCAATAGAGAACAAAGAGTCTGCAAGAATTTAGAAAACACTTGCTTTGATATACAGCAAGAACTAAGGGGCAAGAAGAGGTAATGGGCAAGCTCTGAGTCACTCTTACTGGATGGTCTCAGTACAGCAACAGTAACTAGGATAAGCCAAGGCGTCCTCTACACACATAGTGAGGCCAGCTTGAAACAAGGAAGTACATAGTTGCAGACTTGGAAGCTAGCCACCGCAGCTATTTAAAAATCAATAGAGAGATTATTTTTTAAACCCTCTTTATCCAAAAAGAGTGTTCTGTGAAGAGAAATAGAAGGCACTAGAAGTGACGCACTGAAAGATCTCAGTTCATGGAATGATCACATTTGTAAACTAATAGTTTGTGCCTCTTTTTAGAGTCAAAAGTCAGTAAGCTCAAGTCAGTAAGCTCTGGGTTGGAATTCCAGCTCCTGTTTATTAGCTGTGCAACCATGGACCAATGTACTTCACTAACCCTCAGAATCTTCATTTATAATTTCAGGATTATGATATTGTACTTATAGAGCTTTGAAGAGGATAAAATGAAATAAAATGGGAAAACACTCAGTGAAATGCCTCATATGTAATTACCATGTAACGGTTTTTCCTTTCTTCCTAATTTCATTTACCACCTTCACAATTTGTGTCATATTCACATGCCATCTACATTATTTACTTAATATTGTTCCTCATATAGATTTACATATTTTTTCTAAATAAATTTCGCCTCATCTTAACAACACTACCCACTGAGAGGCTGAATATAAAATGGACAACAGTGAGATCATGTATAACCACAGAACTCTGAGCCACAACCTTTGCAACCAACGCAGGATGGCAAACCACAAGCTCTGCAGCCAAGAGCCCAGAACGGTCAGGACTTGGGCAATGACAACCAAGGACCAAACAGAAAAAGCTAAGATGTTCCCCAGACCAGTCACACAAGATACCCACACTTCCAGCTTTCCCATGCCAACAGCCTTCCAACCACAGCATACCTAAAGCTGCCTCTTTCTTCCATTAAAAAGCTTCTCCACTCCCTTGCTGAGCCTACCAAAGGGAAGAGATGGTGGCTGACTGGACGTTTCTCAATCTTTGGAATTACTAAATACAGCAAATGTGTTTTTAAATAATACCCTCAGACTCTAGGTAGTCTAGAAATTTACAACACTGCTTCTTAGTGATGACGGAGTTGTTATATAACACACTGGTTCATTTAAAAGAACAGGAAAAGAGTTTGTGTACTGATAATAAAAATTTAACTCATGTTGAGAAAAATAAGTAATAAATACCAATGAACAAACAACCAGCACTCTCAAGGACTATATGGTGACACATCTATTGTTATGTGCATTTGCCAATCAGTATTGTTATGGTTCTACAAAGAATCCAGTGCACCAGACTGCAGCTAATTATGTATATTCAAGTGATTAGCAAGCACTTGTTGCCTCTTTCACACCACCCTCCAAACAGCAGCCTTTGAGAGGAGAATAGACTGCAAATTTATTGAGAGAACACTGTTAATCCTTTGGGGAGAATGTAAATGTAAACAGGACTACTCTACATCAAGGTGCTTTGACAACAACAATCATCTGCATAAACACATGCTCAACAACAAACAGGTGTTCTATTTCACAACTAGCACCCATTTGATGCTTTCAAGTAAGCATTATGCACAAACTGTTAGAAGTACTTTGAAACCAGCTGCAATTACTATAATTAGCTGCTTTCCTATACTTTGTTTCCTTTTACCTGTTCAGTACTGTGCTATGCCAATTCATACACTCCAAGTAAAATGACCAGTTCAGGACTTTTACTGGTAAGGTATGAAAAGCACACAAACTAGACTCCATTTAAACTAAGTCAACTGGAACTTTCTCCAAATATCAAAAATACTAAAGGCAAAATTCAAATACTTCTATTTTAAAATTACATTAATGAGACAAAAGATAGCTCTCTTTCAAAGCTGTTTAAAGTTTTGACTCATAAGAGACCTCAATTATTGTAGTATTAACTGACTAGAAGAGGAAAAGGGGAAATATTCTAAAAGTCTATCAATTAAAGAATAAATAAAAAGTAGTGCTACATATTCAAATGGAATACTATACAGCAGCTAAAAGGCATAACCTACCAATAGCTTTAGCTACAGCTGTAACTACATTGCACACGGACAGAGCACAAAAACAATATTAAGTGAAAAAAGGAAAATTTCAGAATGCCAATAAGTATAAGCTAACAATCATAAACATATGTAGTGACCAAATCAAAATCTATATACAAGTTATATCTCAGAGACCTTTTGGGTTCAGTTACAGACCTCTACAATAAATATGGCAATAAAACAAGTTATATGAAATTCTGGTTTCCCAGCTCATATAAAAGTTATATTTACACTACACTATAGTCTATTAAATGTGCAATAGCATTATGTCTTTTAAAAAGTACGTATCTTAATTAAAAACATTATTGCTAAAAATGCTAATCAAGTGAGCATATGCTGTTGGAAAAAATGACACAGATAGACTTGCTCAACAGAGTTGCCACAAACCTTCAATTTGTACAAAATGCAATATGTGCAAAGTGCAATTAAACAAAGCACAATAAACTGAGGTACAACTGTAACCATTAGCCTAATTCTAAAACCAAAATTTTCAAATGTATTAATATAAATCTCAGAAAATCCAAAAGTCAAATATGGCATGAACTCTCAACAGAAAAAAATTAGCTAATTCTCTTAAATCCAATCCAATGATAAACACACTGTCAAGTCCATGAGGGCTGTGACTATTTCAGCACTGTGTACTGCTGTATCTCCTGTACCTCACTGGCACTTCCAGTAAGTAATATTTCATCAATAAAGTATTTATGAAGGAGTGAATCAATGTATGTATGAATGTGTAAATGAGTGCACAAATCAAAGTTCACAAATAAACTGAAACACTGAAGTATTGTTTAAAAATATACAGTGTGAACTATAAAAAGGAAAAAGAATACCAGGTCACATTACTCCATTACAGTCATGCATTGCTTAATGATGGGGATACATTCTGAGAAATGCATCATTAGGCAATTTCCTCACTGAGTGAACATCATAGAAACACCTAGTTTTTAGGCTACAAATCTGAACATGTTACTGTACTGAATACGCAGTTCTAACACAATGGTATCTGTGTATCTAGACAAATCTAAACATAGAGAAGGTACAGTAAAAATACAGTACACAGGGTAAAAAAAAAAGTGGCACACCTCTATAGGGCACTTACCACGAATGGGGCTTGTAGGACTAGAAGTGACTCTGGGTGAATCACTGGTGAGTGAATATGAAGGTCTAGTATATTACTGTAGACTACTGTGGACTTCATAAACACCGTACACTTAGGCTACAATAACAAAATATTTTTCTTTCTTCAATAATAAATTCAGCTTACTATAACTTTTTTACTTCATAAACTGTTTAATTTTGTAGCTTTTTGACTCTTGCAGTAACACAGCTTAAAGCACAAATACACTGTACAGCTGTACAAAAGTATTTTCTTTATATCCTTATTCCATAAGCTTTTTTCTACTTAAATTTTTTTTACCTTTTTTGTTAAAAACTTAGATATAAACATACATATTAGCCTAGACCTACACGGGGTCAGGATCATCAATATCATTGTCCTCCTCCACATCTTGTCCCAGTGGAGGGCTTTTGGGGGCAATAATGTGCATGGGGCTGCCATCTCCAATAACAACGCCTTCTTCTGTAACACCTCCTGAAGGACCTGCATGAGACTGTTTTACAGTTAACCTTTAAAAAAGAAAATAAAGCAGAGAGAGTACACTCTGAAATGACAACAGTATAATAAATACATAAACCAGTAACACGGTCATTTATTATCATTATCAAGTACTATGTACTGTATATAATTGTATGTGCTACACTTTTGTACAAAACTGGCAATGCAATAGGTTGGTTTACACCACCATCACCATAAAAACGTAATGCATTGTGCTATGATGTTACATCACTAGGCAATAAGAATTTTTTAGTTCCATTATAATCTTATGGGATCGCTGTCATATATGCAGTCCATCATTGACTGAAACATCATTCTGCACCACATGACTATTTTTCAACATGTTTCTAAAAATATCATCTAAGTATGATATTTGAAACTTTAACTGGCTACTCATACCAAAAGCAATTTGTAACATTACTTTATACCCAGAAAAATATTTCGTTGCGTTTCCTCTCATAACATTTTCCACCATTTTTATTAGAGACTACTGTAACATACCTAGCAACAAACGTTAGCATGAGTAGCCAGCTCTTACTATCAGTCATCACCAGTCATTCTCATAGTTGATATGAGTTGTCCAACTATTTCCATCTTTTTATTAGATAGCTGCAAAAGTGGGTGCATGCTCACCACAATCACCTGTGGGAAACAAATGTAAACCCAACTGATGGGTCAAACTGTAGAGGAGAGAAGCCAATGACAGGTATTTGAGACAATGCCATGGAAGAATAAATAGAATGGGAGAATGAATTTGAAGTTCAAAGTATGTATTTCAAATATTATTAAAAAGTAAAATTATTCTTCCTTGTGCTAGTGCTAAACACAAAATACATCCTAAATAAATATTAAGTACAGTGGTAAGTAATTTAGGGGGAGATGCATTTAGCTTTGGTTATATTTAGCCTAAACCATCTGCCACATACTTTTTTTAATCTGTAAAAATAAGAAAATGCAAGTGCTAGACAGAAAGCTTGAGATGGGGGTAAAAAGTATATGCTTTGTAGTCAAATACATGGATTCAAATCCTGGCTCTGCCACTTATTATCAGTGTAACCTGGATAACAATCCCTCTGAAACTCCCATTTCACTAGAAAACTGGATGATAATAATTTGGTAACACCTACCACAGAAAGTTGTTCTAAAGCTTAGGTTATTTTATATAAACCAATTAGCATAGTGCCTGGCACATACCATAGTGAGTAATCAATGTTAGAAATTACAATTACCAATCATTGTCTTAGTGATAAATCAACATTCAGATTCCAAAAACCTGGGGTCAAGAAAAACATAAAAGGCCTTAAATGGCTGTACTTGATGCCCACTGTTAATGGAATTTACTAGAAAGAAAGGAACTAAAGAAGGCTGAAGGAATCATAGTCCTGGAAGAAAATGAGAAGCAAGAATTAGAAAAAAGAATGGCCCTACCAATAAAGGTTTAAAAGTCAGAAAAATAACAGCTATAGAGGTATTTTGTTCTTAAAGCTATTTCAAAGGCAAACCAAAACAAGAATGAAGTGAATGGTATTATACAGCAATCTTAAAGAAATTAGGAGCCTTGCAAGTACTAAGTTCGAAGATAAAGAAATGGAAGCCTAACAAAATGAGAAAGTCAAGGCATATGCTGATTTGAAACAAAACAGACGTACTAAGACTTTGCTTAAGATTCATCTACTTTAAAACACCTCAAAGTCCACGTAACTTCATCCAGATGTATGCCACCCCTATATTGCTATTTTCTTTCCACCTTCCCAACAGATAACAGCCATGCAACTGGCATTTCATAGACACAAGTATTTGCTGAATAAATGAACCGTCACACACAAATAACATATGTAAATTATCTGAACATAGAGCAATCTTTCCAGCATCATTTCTCACTAGTCCCTTTCTCACAGAATCCCTCAAACCCTACTAATCTACTTTCACTTCCAGAAAGGTGCAAGAGTCCTTTCTGTCACACTTTTGCTGGTCCCTCTTCCCATAACCTGCTTCCATTCACAGTGTACCAGGCAACTCTTACTCTACCTTCGGATCTCAGCTTCAAGCTCAAAACTTCTAGAAAGCCTTTCTTGGCTCTATCATACACAAAATGTGAGTTTGGACAAGTCACTTTATTTCTCTGTGCCTCATACTCATCTGCAAAATGGGGGTGATAGCGCTTTCCTCATAAGGTTGCTATGAGAATTAAATGAGATTAATTCAGGTAAAACACCTAAAATAGTGCTTGGCGTGTAGTAACAGCTCAGTAAGGCATGGGTGTAATTGTTATTCCCTGACTCCTAAATCCAGGTTAGGAGCCCCTTCTGTTATTCCTTCTTCTTCTTCTTACTAGTATTCCCTTTCCCTACCACAGCATTTATCAAAGTGTGGGTTCTACAATGTTTTGCTAAGAAAGATGAAAAGTAGAAAGAAAAGAACTAATGAAGAAGTAGAAAGCAAAAGAAAAAGTGAGCACTCAATACAGGGATGAACAAACAAAAGAAAGTGAAAAGGAGAAAAGGGACAGGGTAGACTTCCTTAAGATATTAGTAAAATAAAGCAATTCTTGTTTTAAGGATTTCAGTAGCTTTCCTCTTGAGCCAAAAATTCTACAATAAATAGGACAACTATGAGAATCCACAGGGAGAAGTCATTGGATGGCAATGATTAGAACAATATTTTGTTATAAATCAGATGAAATAAAATCAGGAGCAAAAAGGATTTCCCATCTAATCTAGAATAAAAATCACATATAAAATTGATCTAGACTAAAGTAGGATGCACTTGTAAATTATGAAAAGATTCCAAAACATTGAAGTACTGTGGTCTCTTCCTACAAATTAACTGTTCATTTTAAAGTAATATAGGATGGCATTATGACTGAAGATAACTAATATACTCAAATTGCACCGACTACATCCCTGGCCCAGAGAAGTTAAAACAGAAGAAAGCAACAATGACTAGACTCTTCACCAAAAAAGAAATGTTTGTTTTTGCAGGTTAGCTCCACCATTTTTTTCACATTTGCATCCTAATAGTTCTACTTGGTCTCTCCATTATGCAACAGTTCTTTACAATACAGCCAGCTACCCTGACAACTGGGTTCCTTTGCCAGGGTGGCTTTGTCTAAATCCTAAAGCTGTGCTTGGCTTTGCACTGAGCCCAGTGGCTGCCTGTGATCTGAATGCCAATGAAGACTACAGACCCTGTTGTCTAACAAGCCAGAGACTAAAAGGTCTCTTTGGGGTCAACAAACTGTCTCGACTACTTTCATAAGCTTAAGAGACTGGAAAATGAAGCTAGAAATGCATCTTATTTCTTAGGAGGACAATGGGGGAAAGTATTAAACGTTTAACATTCATCAGATACTGTTAGGGCTTCAACTTTAGGGAGGTGTCTAGTAAACCTTCACATGTAAATAAAGTACTTGTTCTTTTAAGAAGGAATAAGCTTCATCTTAAAGAAAATGTAAATAAATTTTATATTATCAAATTTGAAAATGTTTAGAGAATTTATGTGCTCAAAAGTATACATAAATGTCTCCAGTCCCACTTCCCACTTAGTACTCGTTGAGGATGAACAGATAATGACACGGAAATAAAGATGGTAAACCATTACACACTGTAAAATTTAGTGTTCAGTTACAATCTAAGAAATGCAAAACTATGTAACTCTAAAGAAGCAATTAGGTAGTATATACTAAAAAGCAAACATTAAAAATGCTAAAATCCAATGGTAGAAGAATATTGTTTTAACTACATTATTTTAGTTTGTCAATAAAAAATAACATGCATTGTTTTTGCTTGTTTACATGTCTGAATCTGCCATTCCGCTACCATACATTTTCTTGTATTTTTGTGCTTGGAGGCTCCCTTTTCCTTCTTTATAACGAATTCACCATCTCTCATTTAATCAAATGGCAAATCCTATGTTTTATTTCCTAGATCACTCTCAAACCTTATGCTTTTGCCACAACCCTAGCACAGATCATGGTGATCTCTCATCTAGATTCCTATGAGAGCCTCTGAACTGGAATCTGGCCGGAGTAGTCCAATAAGACACATAATGTGACACATACATGTAATTTTAAATTTTCTAAAAGCCATACATAAAAGAGCAAAAAGAAAGAGTAAAATTTAACTGAATAATATATTTAACCAAGTATATCCAAAATATGATCATTTCAACATATAACCATAGAAAAAATTGAGATATTTTACATTCTTGTTTTTTATATCTTGAACTCAAAATCCAGTGTGAATTTTACACCTATAATATAGGTCAATTCGCACTCTAAATTTTCAATAACTTATGTGAAATGTAGTCCAATCAAAATACTAAAGTTAAAGGAAAACATATTGTTTAAAATTTTAAGTTAAATTTTTAAATCAAAATTAACAAAAATGTAAAACTCACTCCTCATCACACTAGTTACCTTTCAAGTGCTCAACAGCCACTTTGGCCCATGGCTACTTTGTTGAACAGTACAAATGTAGGTCTTCAATTTTTGCCTCTTCTAACCTAGACTGAACATATTCAAAAACAGAGATCATTCACATCATCTTATGGCTTTAAAGCCCCTCAACCACGTCCTGCTGATCTGACAAAACCCAAGTGCTTACACAGGTTTTGCAACCTAGGCTCCCTCCTCCTTTTCCAGCCTCAGCTATCTATCTCCATTTTCCCCTTACACTCTGTTCCCCAGATAAACAATGCTTTCCCCAAATCCCGGAACATGCTGAACTTTGTCCCCTTTGGCATGTGCTGCTAGTCCCTCAGGTTTCAAATTAGAAATCACTTTTTCTTTTTAGAGCCCTTTCTGTTACACAGCACAAGCTCTTGTGAGGGTAAGAACTGGATCACTATTGCTCATTATTGTATCCCCAGCATTTATCAAAATGCCTCATATTTTGTAGGCACTCAAAAAATATGAATCAATCCACAGAGTAATCTTAGCTGCCCAAAATAGGCCAAAGGCATGTCCTCATGTCAACACATGTGGCCGGAAGAGAAGGGTCTTCCTGGGAGCTCATTACATGGTTTTACTATCACTAACCAAAAAATGAGAGAAACTACGCCAAAATTAGCACCAAAACACTTAGACTCTCAAGTTTGGAAAATGCAGTACAAAGTAATACTTTGTGTTTTATAGGTTCTTTTGAGTCCACTGGAAAGGCAGTATACCTGAGTAACAGAGTAAATTCTAGTGTCAAGGGACTTGTGAGAAAAGCGTTTGCCCCCCTTCTTACAAGGAGAGCTCATTAGTATTATTTCAGGTTTCTTTCTCTCCCTTTACTCCCTCTAATTCTGGTAAGATGGAGTATTTTAATCTGGTGAAAAACTGGTGAGGAAAAATCCTTGGTATGCAGGATTCTGCTGGGCCCCTTTTCTTCCTGTTGAAACTAGTAGGCTGCAGAAAATGCAAATGTGTCTTTTTCCTCTATGCAAGAGATCAGCAAACTACAAAAGGCTGATGCCTATTTTTCTAAATAAAGTTTTATTGGAACACTCATTAGCTTACCTGTTGTCTATGGCTGTTTTCTTGCATCACAATCACAGAGTAGCTACAATTGCAACAAAAACCATAAAGATCCCTGCTCTATGGCACTGTCTTATTTATATTACCTGAAGAGTGCTTGAAAAAGTTGGCCTGGTTCTGCAATTCAATCAGCAGGTCATTTGGCTCTCAAACTCAGACCTCCACTTGGACTTTTATCATTAGTAGGTACGTTCTGGCCTCTATCTTTACTCTTCATTTTGTATCTGGTATTGTACAAAGGCCAGGTAGGAAAGAATGACTTATGCCATGACCTCTAGAAACCCCAATCCTTCATCTACATAAAATTTCCAGGCATGTTTATTAAGTTCTAGGGTATAAAATTTCAGGGGAGGGGTCTCATCAAATATTTGTTCAAGCTATGAAATACCTGGAAATCTGATTTTTGAAGAAGTGTTAGCCCTACATCTGGGAAATTTATATCATTAATGTTAACTTCATCACATATATAACTGTATGTTCCATATATCGTCAATAAAGAACACTAACAGTATAAACTCCAGCCTAGTTCTTCAAAGACTTTTAGTATTTTCATGATAGGACCTTTGTTTCATGCAAGCACGTACCTGTATTCTGGGCAGAAATTTTGTTAGTCTTTGTTGATTTTTGTTTCCTTGTTTCTCTGTTTCTCTCTCAAAACAAATCCACATTACCCAAAAAGTGACACTGAATCACCCATTTCCAGTAACACTAATAAATAATTATTCCAATACTTTATTAAGAAGCATTCACCTTTTTCTCATGCCAATGTTTTTAAAAATAGAACTTTTTTACAGTGACCATTCTATCATACATATTTGTAAAAATATACATGTAAGAATATTAATCTTGGCAATAACTATAAGGAGTTAAAGAGAGGGAATCAAGATTTCCCTTGTAAGTTTATAAGACATAGTCCAACAATAATCTTATATAAGCTATTTTAATTAGGTCAATGAGAGTGTTGCATATTTTCATAACATGCTTTTTATTCATTTCAATTTCTTAACCAGCTTTGTTCCATTTAAGATCATTTCCTTGCGCTAAACATCTCACATTTCCAAATTTCCTATAATAAAAAGTTGCTTAAGTAATTTAATAGAACAAGACTAGCAGACATGATAAAACATAAAATACTTCCTACCTTGGTACAAACTCAGGCTTACTTTTGGTTGCTGGGAATTCTAAAATGAAACCAAGAAACAGCTTTTCCAAAAAATTACTTTTGTGCAAAGAATTAGAAATTAAACATGAAAAGGACTTTATTTTTCTCAATATTTTTATTCCAATTAGACTATGAGTAATCTGTGTATTAACAGTATTCAAAAAAATACCTGTAAACTACAGTATTTTTCCATAATCCTCAGTTTGTGATAGGCCATTCTGAACCCATGAGTTTCTCATCCACAGATTCAAACAACTACAGATAGAAAATTAAAAAAAAAAAAAAAAAACAGTAAAAAATAACAATAGAACAATATATGCAAATGTTACACCATTGTATATAAGGGACTTGAGCATCCTTGGAATTTGGTATCCACAAGGGACCTAGAACCAATCCCCTGTGGATACCAAGGGGCCACTATGTCTGTGTCATATGCCTCTCTGATAGTTACCACCTTTCTAAATTGAAAATTTTTTTAAAAAAGCAAAACTAGTTAAAATCATTTTAATGTTATAAAAAGAATCGGATTTTATGTAAATAATAAATATACTCAGAGGTCAGGCATGGTGGTTCACACCTGTAATCCCAGCACTTTGGGAAGCTGAGGCAGGCGATCACCTAAGGTCAGGAGTTCAAGACCAGCCTGGCCAATATGGCGAAACCCCGTCGCTACTAAAAATACAAAAATTAGCCGGGCATGGTGCTGGGTGTCTGTAATTCCAGCTACTTGGGAGGCTGAGGCAGGATAATCACTTGAACCCAGGAGGTGGAGGTTGCAGTGAGTCGAGACGGCACCACTGCACTCCAGCCTGGGCGACAGAGCGAGACTCCATCTCAATAAATAAATAAAACTCTGATAATCAGAAACCTTAAACATTTCTTTTTGTGAAAGTTTTCTTCTCATTTGGTAGAATGATAAAACAAACGTTTGTCCTTTTTCATTTTCCCATCATAAACCGATTTCTCCTCATAAGAATATTCTCCAAACCCTAGTCTTTTTTAAAAGCAGCACTCTCCTCACAAAAAATTATGGGCATAAAAATACTTCAGGGGCTCCAGGGTATCTTTTTTTTTTTTTAATGTGTAGACCATTTACGAAAATGAAACTCTGTTAGGTTACTTAACATTGACTGCAACAACAAACACTAGCTTATTACATAAACTTTAGAACATGTACATGTTCACCACTGCAACAGAAGAGGTCAGAAGGAGGTAGCTCTTAACTGACTCAGGCCAAAGTGACACATACTATTTTCACTCCCAATTCACTGGCCAGAAATTAGTCACATAGATCCAAAGGAAGTGCACGGAAGGCTCGAAAATGTAGGAGCACATAGAAAAGTTGGTCTCCATCTCAAAAACAGCTCTAAAATACTGCTCAAGAATCTTCCAAACTCTGTGTTCAATGATAAGGTTGTAATTGGCCGGTAAACCTAAAATTAGGCAGATCAACTTTTAATTATACCCTCTACAATGCCTAATAATTTTACCCTGGAAGAAAAACTTTGTATATAAGGGACTTGACCATCCTGGCAAAGAAATTTCCTGGAGAAGACTTCCCTGGAAGGAAAAACCACTGTTTGTTTAAAACACTTCATTTTTTCTAGTCTTGTTTTCAAAAATACTATGAATAAATAGTCTTAATAACACTCAGAAGGTAGCATTTGAAATCAATTCCATGGTTTGAAATACATAGTTTTATTAAGGAAAAAAATATTTTCAAAGAATTTCACAACTTATCAAATACAGAGATAGACTGAATGATTATGCCAAATGTTTTAGAAAATAACTAATTTACAACAGCCCTTCTTAACATAGGAAAGTTTAATATTTTAAAATGCAAGTGTCATAAAATTTTTTTAGTACTCCAAATGAATAGTAAATATATGAAAAAGAGTTCTACTTCATTAGTTATCAGGGGAATACAAATTAAAACCACATTACTGGCCAAGGTTGATGCTACACCTGTCATGCCTGTAATCCCAGCACTTTGGAAGGATTGCTTACACCCAGGAGTTTAAGACCAGCCTCAGCAACCATAGGAAGAGGCCCATCTCTACCAACAATATCACCAAGTGTTGGTGAAGATATAGAACAAATGAAACTTACAAACTGCTGCTGGAATATAAAGAATAAACACTTAAGGAAAGCATCTAGCAGCATCTACAAAAGTTGAACATATGCACGTTCTATGATCCAGCAGCCCCACTTCTAGGTACATAGCCAACAGAAATGTGTATGTATGCACACCCAAAGACATACAGCCAAAATGTAAAAACAAAACAAATCCAAAAATAGAACAGATAAACTAGGGTCTAGTCATGCAGTGGAAATATAATACAGCAATGGGCCTGAATGAACTGTTAGTACAAACAACAACATCAATAAATCTCACAAATAAAATTTTGAAAAAGCCGCCATATGATTTCATACTCAAAAGCAGGCAAAACTAATATATGCTGTAGAAGTCATCCTGTTTGCTTGGTGGGACATAGTGACTGTAAGGGTAGAGGAAGGGAAGGCTTATAAGGTAGTGGTAATATTGTTTTTTAAATATAGGTGTTACATGGTGTGCTTACTTCATGAATATTTACAGAGCCGTATTCTTATGATTCTTTCACTTTTATGTATCTCATACTTTAAGAAAAAGTTTACCTTAAAAAATTATTGGCCGGGCGCGGTGGCTCACGCCTGTAATCCCAGCACTTTGGGAGGCCGAGGCGGGTGGATCACGAGGTCAGGAGATCGAGACCATCCCGGCTAAAACGGTGAAACCCCGTCTCTACTAAAAATACAAAAAATTAGCCGGGCGTAGTGGCGGGCGCCTGTAGTCCCAGCTACTTGGGAGGCTGAGGCAGGAGAATGGCGTGAACCCGGGAGGCGGAGCTTGCAGTGAGCCGAGATCGCGCCCCTGCACTCCAGCCTGGGTGACAGAGCGAGACTCCGTCTCAAAAAAAAAAAAAAAAAAAAAATTATTATACATAACAGAAATAGACTCTCTTGATTGATCACATTTTACACCACCAACTATTAGTTCCAGTATTCTTTACTATGTTCAGTGGTAATTTCTGAAATGGCTATTCTCATCACCATGAGGGGATCTCATTTGTGATCACTGTATTCATGAGTCCTTGGCTCATTAAAAAAAAAAAATTGTTTTAATTTCTCAAAAAGATGTTCTTTTACAAGTAATGGGGGAGATTTTAAATTTTCCTGTTATGATCTTACTGAAGCTCTCAGTTCTAAAATAAAAGTAGGCTGGGGGCAGTGGCTCAGGCCTGTAATCCTAGCAGGATTTTTTTGGGGTGGGGAGGCTGAGGCAAGAGGATCACTTGAGCCCAGGAGTTCAAGACCAGCCTGGGCAATATGGTAAGCCCGTCCTCTACGGAAAATTTAAAAATTAGCCCGGCGTGGTGGTGTGCACCTGTACAGTCCCAGCTACTCAAGAGGCTGAGGTGGAAGGATTACTTGAGCCCAGGAGGTTGAGGTTGCAGTGAGCTATGATCATGCCACTGCACTCCAGCCTGGGCAACAGAGGGAGATCCTGTCTCAAAAATAAAATAAGAGTATTGGGCATATCAATTTTTAAGAAAACGAGATATGATGTCAAAATTATTTATTTTAAAATGATCAGAGCATACTAAAAACATGTATGGATTTAGAGATGATTTTGGTCAATCCTCCTTATTTTACAAAAACAGGAAAAGTGATTTGCCCAGGGTCACAAAAGTATGTGGTAATAGATGATATTAGTCAGTACTCAGCTCTCTGGAATGAGAATTTGTCCCTATTCCCTTTAAACCAAGCTTGTCCAACCTGTGACCCTCAGGCCACATGCAGCCCAGAACAGCTTTGAATGCGCCTCAACACAATTCACGAGCTTAAAACATTATAGGATTTATTTTGATTTTTTTTTAGCTCATCGTGTGGCCCAAGACAATTCCTCTTCCAATGTGTCCCAGGGAAGTCAAAAGACTGGACACCCCTGCTAAACCATTCTGCTGCTCATTTTATCACTGGCACTAGGAATGGAGGTTTTATTATGCAAAGGAATTTCCGATACATGCCTTTGAAGTTGGATTTAATTAATTCAAGACACATAATTATATAAAGTGAGCATCTGCAGTACCCGTAGTATTCATCCTGAAAATAGTTTCCAAAACTCAATGCATTCAGAACTTCAAAAAAATTAATGTAGCAAAATCTGCATTAACTCTAAAATTCAGCTTTAATGCAGGTATCAAAAACTTCAAAAAAACAAATTCCCTATGTGGAATCAAAAAGATCTTTCAGGTTCATTCGATGATTTTTTACTTTGCTTTGTTTCTGTTTCCATTTAGCCCTATTTTAATGCTTATTTTACTAAACTCAAACATAGGGAGTACTTTATTTTCTAACATGTTTGTCTCCGTATGTTTTTTTCAATAATTTAACGTCCATTTCTAACTTGCCTATCAGTCCCAGGTCTTTTTAGATCTTTCTCAATTATGGTTGTTATTTTCATAATATCTAAATCATATCATATGTAATTGTTCTATTAAAATGTATTCTGTCTTTACATTTCAATGAGCTAAACATGCTTTATCTTGAGTGATAAATGTTTTTTCCCCTAAATAATACCAACATAAGCCTATACTTGATACAGCCAGTTAAAGTTAGAACAAAAACTTTAGAGAAAATTTCTGGTCAATTAGTGTGTCACTGAGTTAATGAATCATTTAATTACCACTTGCTTGGGTTATTTGTCCCCTCACTTTATCAATAAAGAACACAGTATGACATAAGAAACTTCCAAGTTTGAACTAAGTCACAGCCAGGACCTCTGATTTCTAATGTACCTGAAACTAACATACTCTACAGAAAAGATGAGGGGTCTCATAACCTCTGCATATTCAATGCTTTCATATTCAATTGTTTGTTTTTAAAGAAATTAGTTTATTAGAGACAGAGAGAGAACGAATCTTTCCCTTGATAATCTCCACTAAACTTTATAAATATGCTTAGAATGGAAATGAATGAGAAGAAACAGAGGATGAAGGAGACATCAGAAATTTTCAGCCCTGTGTTTTACCTCTGGAGAATTCTTATTGTCATGAAGAACATGAACATGGGGGGTGGGGGGCAGTACAGGAAAGGAACAACTGCAAGCTGCCATGCTGAGTTTAACAACAATCATCAAAAGGGGCTTTGGGAGCTCACCAGCTGCAAAGTTTTTGTATTAGGCTGTGATTCCATTGGGAGGATGGGAGCCCCTAAATAATGATGTCAAAGGGGTTTTTACATGCCCAGGAAGCTATTTCAAGCAAACAAAAATCTACATTTATTCCTAATGGAGGTTAAGGCCTTTGGGGATTAGAGATAGAGAGTGTAGATGGCTATTATCTAAATAAACTTACTGTTCCTAGCACAACAAAGGAATATATTCCTAAAAAGAAATATAGGATATTATTTTCACCGTAAAACTGCAAAGAAATGAACACTTTTTCCAAGAACAAACAAAAATGTCAGAAGTTTCATTTTGAAAGTTATACGGCAAAGTGAATTTGAGAATTAAAAGGGAATTAGAGGATAATTTCAAGAGGAATTTCATTAACGGAGATTTCTGCATCATATTTTCATGCTTTTTTTATTATAGAGTGTAATTCTTAATGACTGCTTCAACAAAATTTGGGGAAAGTAAAATTACATTGCCATTGCTGCTAAGTTGTAACTGACCTTCTCTCTTGTACTTGTATTCTACCCAGTACAGCCCAGTAAATGCAGCATGTTCACGTTCACTTGTCCAAAGCAAAATGACTTCTTTCCCAAGACACAATGAAGAGATTAAAGGGAGATATCTTCAATGAACAGACCAAAATGTCACCTAACAACATGCTTAGTAAATAGGTACCTTTGCAAATGAAACTCTTAGTATCACATTGGGAATTACCATAGAAAACCACATTAAACTTATTGTAAACTGACTTTATCCATAAACACAAAAAAAATCAAAAGGGATAAATGTAAGACAGTTCACTTAAGACATAGTATAGGTTTCTTGCAAACATGGCTAAAAATTACTTAACACCATAATGAATAACAAGGATCGGTAAGAGTCAGTAATGAAACGATGTCTGAAGCAAGCACTGAAATATACCTAGGCATAGCACATGCAAAAAATGTGATGCTATGCTTTTTCAACCATAATGACCTGTAAATTGTTTTATACTAAGGCCCAACGGTTCTAGCAATGCTGTATAATCTCACATCTTTCCCCTGTCAAATGAAGAAAAAATTAAAAGATACACAAACATAAATATATCTTTTAAAACATATAGCATGCCTGGGTATTGTTTATATGATTCAGTGGAAATCAACATGGTTTGCTGGTGTGTCTGGTTTTTTGTGTTTTAATATTTATATTGCATAGCTATCCAAAATTGTTCAGAGTTTTGAAAGAACCAAGTTGTAAAAAATTGTGGATAGGCAGGAATTCTGACAAGCTTTCTAAACATGACCCTTTATTTCAACATGAAGATAAAGAGGCAAAGCTATACTGATTGAACAGAAAACAAGAATGGGACTTAAAAAAAAAAACAAGAGTTGGATAGACAGTGTTCTTCCTTCTAGTTGATAGGAAGGCCACACAGTGTAAAACTATACTCACAACTTTGGTGTTCACATGCACAATCTTCACCACTTAGAAAGAAGCAGCTTTATTAGTGCTTATAAAAATTCATTAGTCCCTATAAAACCAGAACCAATTCAGCAGATAAGTAAATAAAACAATATAAAGAAAATAAATTCACAAACTTTAATGTAGAATTTCAGAAAATGTTAAAGTTCACTGAGAAATACTATTTAGTGTGATTAAGATAATAAAAATAAATCAATAATGCAAACACAGTATTAATAACTTGAAGTTTTCAAATTTGAGAGGTTTTGTTCTCATGAGAATATTCTCTCAAAAGTAGTTTAGTTATATGAATAAGATTTCTGGATAATAATTGATCTGCATAGGCTATTAAAAATTGCCTGTTTATACAGGTCTGACTTTCAAAGCCCCAATCTTGAGTACGTGTCAAGGTTAGCCTTACCATACGAATCAGAGTGACATCTAGTGGCAACTCCATTGAAGTACTACTTGGTACTTCATCTGTTGTAAATACAAATGAACAGTACCTAGCATATGGCAGGCCCTCACACACTGTTGCATGAATACTTTAATATTTTAAGCTAATATTATAATTTCCTCAGTTCTACTGAACTTCCTCCTTCCTTTTCCTTACCACTTCTAGTCCTTCATTCTCTCCCTATTTTCTCAGTTGAAAAGTTCCCTTCTACTTGTCTCATTCTATGGAATCCCTGATCATTCTATATTTTTCTAATCCACTTTTTCTTTCATTATACACATCTTATCAGTCTCCATCCTAGGTATATGATATAATCCATTTTATGTGGAACTCTTCTGAGTACTGCTATACTAAATCACGAAACTAAACCAAATAAATCTATCATAATTCATGCAAACCTGGGAAATTATTTCATTCATCTCTAGTTGACTTGATCATGATTGTTTTCTAAAGGAATCATGCCACATCTTCTTTATCCCTCTTCAAACCCCTCTCCCCCAACCCCATCTTTCTCATTTTATAATATCCCTACTTCCTAGAAAGCAGGGAAACCATTAAACGTGAATAACTTCAACTTCCCAGCTCTCTACTTCAAACATTCAGAATACCCCCTTTACTTATAACAAAGGAAGTCATATACATTCTAGTTTTCAAGAACTAACCCCTCTTTCTTGTGTCCCATCTTTACTGTCATCTAAGATTTGATTATGTCAAATGATGAATCTCTCTCTTGGATCTTTCTGAATTTCCCTCTGTATTTTGACTCCATTCCTTCAACCTATGAATATGCTCAAAACATCCCATCCAAAAATCATCTTTCTTTGGCTTGCTGTAATCTATTTTCTTTCCTTTTATCAAAAAATAACTCAGAAGAAAAATCTATGATTACTGTCTCCATTTCTTCAGTATCCATTCACTCTTCAACTCCTGCCAATTTGCTATTTACCATCACTACTACTGATCTCCACAAAGTCACCAATGAGGTTATCAGTGGCCTCTTTACAGGCCTTGTTGTCCTTGAATCCTGAAATAATGCTGTAATAATTGCTCTTGCTTGGCATCTAAAGTGAAGTGATCTTTTTATTCTCTTCCAATCTCCCTCATAACTCCTTCTCTGCTTTCTTCTCCTTCTCATATAGGCTAAATGCAATATGGCCTCATATATACTTGAGCAAATAAAGAGGCGAAGTCATGCTTTTATAAAGAAAGTGCTTCAGTTTCTAAATAGAAATTGATTTGCCTATGAATTTAGCTCAAAATTATGTACTGCTTAATACCCTCCTTTCCTTCAAAGTAATGCTTTAACCCTACTTGGTTAAATTTGCCCCAATTATTTCAAATCATAATTCACTGTCCCTAATAAACCAAATTTTATCTTGCATTAACATACATTTTGTATCATCTTTAGATGTGTCCTAAGGTTTTAAAAATTCTCTATTATGTTAACTTGCAACTACTGTATGCCTCCTTCTCCCACCTTCTCTCCCCTCTCACATGCATGCACGTATACACACACACACACACACACACACACGCACGCACGCACACACGGTATTTTACAAGGACAGCAAGCTCAATGCCTTTGTCCTCCACTTCTGGGCATTTCTTCAAAATGTTTTAAATCTGAATATACTACTCTTTACCGGTAAGTTATTAGTAAATGCTTGTTGATTAAGGCTAATCTTTTTTTTTTTTTTTTGAGACAGAGTCTCCCTTTGTCGCCCAGGCTGGAGTGCAGTGGCACAATCTCAGTTCACTGCAAACTCTGCCTCCTGGGTTCAAGTGATTCTCCTGCTTCAGCTTCTCGAGTAGCTGGGACTACAGGTGCCTGCCATCACACCTGGCTAATTTTGGTATTTTTAGTAGAGACGGAGTTTCACTGTGTTGGCCAGGCTGACCTCAAACTCCTGACCTCCGGTGATCTGCCCGCCTCGGCCTCCCAAAGTGCTGGGATTACAGGTATGAGCCACCACACCTAGCCAATTAAGGCCAATACTTCAATAACTGTTCATTAAAAAGAAATAATGTTTTTTAAAAGAAAAAAAACTGACTTTTGTTTTAGCTGTTGGTACTGATACTATCAGTCTATAAACACTACAAACACACAGAAAGTGAGATAATGCTTTGGAAAAAGATTAATTTTCTAATTCTGAGCTAACTGGCCCAATTTTACTTGTGAAAACTGCTCTATAATTTGTCACAACTCTAATTTACACCAAACTCAACATAATTTTCTTAAATGCTTCTCAAAAAAAAAAAGACTCTGAAAGAGAAGGACTTCTGGAAAATTAGCAGCAAAGAATCATGAAGAACAATATTTGAAGCCTCTATACAACTTTTATAAAACATTTGCCACAAGGCAAGTTTTGGTGTGTGCAAAAATCCATTTGTAGACCAGCTGTGACAGACTCTTTAAAGCATATCCAAGGCAATGATAAATGAAGCAGACATTCATGCCAAACGCTTGGATTTAGATTTACGTATCAAGAAAGCTTTAATAAGTAATCCTACAAGGAATACAGTTGTATCTACATTTTGTGTAAGTAATAGTTGCTCATTTCTTTTTAGGGGAGGGGGGAATGCTATATTCATCTTTTAAAATAAATTCTTCATTTTTGTTTTGTTATTTTTTCTCCTTAGTCTAGTGAAGAGAGAGTCAGACAGGATATTCTGCTATGAGGCCCTGGCAAATCTAGTCCATTGTTGTGGGGAGAGGGGCACTTTGATCTGGAAGATACACAGGGACTCAGATTTAGAAATGCAGCCTGGAAAAAGCATTCTAGTGCTGAATGGACCTTTGTCTACAGGAACAGTTCCTGAGACATGCATGGAAGAGCTGAAACAGGACCCAGCCCACAGGGGAAGAGAGCTTGCAGGGAAGGTGGGGAGGGGGACAGAAAAGTAGGCTGTAGCTATTCCAGGTGAGTTCTTCGGTATCAAGAGAGTTTAGGGAGGTTGGATTATCCTCCAGGAACTTCAGCACTGGAGCCTACAACTATCTAGGACCATTTTAATTAGCTAATCTGCTATTCACATTTATACCCCACTCAACCAAAACTCTACTAGCTTCAGGGAAAGGTGGAGGACACTACAGAATTGGTACTCTGATTGGCTAGCCAATCACAGCCAGCTGTTGAGCTGGGTTAATGCTGTATACAGGGTCCAAAACAGTGCAGGTTGGGCGACCTCTGTTTTATTATTTAAGAGATAACTGAAAGTTTCTTTGCTTTTGATACAAAACCAAAAATCATTAAATGAGAGAACATTTTTAACTAAGAAAAAAATTTTTAAACTGAAAAGTACAAAAAATACACTTATCCAAAATCAGGCATATATGCATCTGAAAGGTATATCTACTAAAGTGATATGACATAACAATTTTAAATAGTCCTGAAATGTTGAATTAATTATAGTAACCATGAGCACTGCTTTCCGAACAGCTTTGATTCTGAAATGAACATTCTTTGTATTTGATGACACTAATTCAGCCTTTTTGTGGTCGATGCTATAAATGTTACGGAAATTATGTACTGCCCATGTTCATTACCTAAATTTCACATAATAATAGGTTTGTTAAATTAATTTTTCCCTAAAATAGATAAAACAATTACTCCTTATTAAGCATTAATCACTTGCCAAATTTAATTTTCTAAAACAACCTCATTTCAATTACACACAAGTCTTAGATTTGGTATTTTCAACTTTTCATTTTATTTTTTCAAATTCAAATAGACTTTAGATTTTAAAATAACAGAAACACTTTGCAGGTAGTCCCTTGGTTTATAAGTGGTGTGAAATTCACTGTAGCTTCTGGGAACTCTGAATGCTTTGCTCCAGAGAACAATTATATAAATAGTTAACTCTGAGGATGCTGTCATAAAGGTCTATTAACAGTACTAGTTAGTTTAACAGTACTAGTTAGTACCATTAAATCAGCTCTAATTCTAGGCTCTTGGGATGAAAGTGTGGGGGGAAAGGAAGTTAAAGTTTTCATCCCTTTTCCCAGGCACAGACTTCGTCCCAAGCAGACATCTGAAGTGGGCAAATGGAATTTTGGCATAGTTTCTACCCCCTTTCCCAATACATAGTCTTTTCCTACATCCTCTTGTTGTTTCTACCAGTCACAAGGTCTTCATGCTTCCTCCATCATGTTATGCCATTTTGATTTGCCTTAAGTTCTCCAAATGTCCCATATTTCAAAATTTAAGCCCTATATCACCATCCGATTTCACAGGCAACACAAAGAATGCGAACTGCTTCTAAGGAGTAAGTGAAAGAACATGCCTAAACCTTTTTAAAAGTAATTAAGTTCCATGACTATGAACTTAAATAAATGTATAATCTATGGGGTCTTAAGCAGTGTAAAAAATTAAAGTAAAAGCAACATTTTAAAAAGAAAGCTAGGGAATATAAAGCAAGGTATTTGGATGCAGAAAGTTCCTACGTAAGCAGATTAGCACTAACCTAAAAGCGTACGATTTTTCACTTTCCTACAGTTTCTTCCCCTTTCCCCTAAACATAGTTTCTCAAAATCTAGTATCTTCAAAATTGACCTAAAAATTGAAAGAGAAACAAGCCAACAATGTCCCCTTAGATATATATACACACAAATGACCCTAGGAAATCTGTTTTCAATAAAAAACTTCTAGAATTTGGTTTAAGAAAGAAATGTCCTTTCAGTATGTACATCTGATAGTTGTATAATACTGTTCTTTTGTACCTCAATGCTGATCAAGGTTGGTAGAGAAATGAATGTTTCTTCTAGGAGTTGTAACCATTTCATCATAATATATTCCTCATCAAGACTCTCCAGTTGTTCTCTATTGTCTGCTATGTCAAACACAACTCTTGAACAGGTTAGGGGCTTAGGTAGTAGAGTGTAAAATAACTGAATAGGAACATTGAGATATTTTATGGCAAACCTCCAGAACTAAATTGAAGGGCTAGAATCCCATCTTTTCCCATGAAGCCTTCTATAAAGCAAAGATGGAGAAGTAACAATGAACCCTCTCTTCTAATAATGTGACATAGGTTAGCGCTTAATGTATATACTGTCTTGAATTATTCTCTGTGTGTTTCATATACTGGTCTTATTCTCTGGGTAGATAATGAAAGCCTGGAAGTAGATTATGTACAATTTGCCTCATCTCTATTTATTTTCCCAGTTTCCTTATTATAGAGCACGCTTTCACTCTCAACAGGGTACTGGTTTGGAAGATACACAGCCAGCTTATCCTTAAAGTAAAAGACCATGTCTTAAGTTTCTTTTCTGACATCAAATACCTACTATACACTCAAGGGAAACTTTGATTTGTTTGACTGAACTCCAAATTTATTATGGAGTCATTATTTTCTTGGTTACAGTCTCATGGCCCTCTGTACTTTCCATAATTAGCATTTACCACAGTTGATAATTACACTGAATGATTAGCTGTAGAATGCCTGTATCTGCATTTGATTTTACTGTGAGCAGTGGTACTCAAAACCAGGAGTAGTGATGTGCTCCCCACCCTCACTGGACATTTGGCAACACATAGAGACATTCTTGGTTACTGCCAATGTGCTGAGGGATGGAGAGATAGGAGGTGCTGTTACCAAGTGCAGGGTCCCCACCCCTGGGCCGCGGATGGTGGCTGTTAGGAACCAGGCCACGCAGCAAGAGGTGAGCAGCAGGTGAGCGAGCATTACCACCTGAGCTCCACCTCCTATCAGATCAGCTGTGGCAACAGATTCTCACAGGAGTGCGAACCCTATTGTGAACTGTGCATGCGAGGGATCTAGGTTGCATGGTCCTTTGAGAATCTAACTAATACCTGATGGTCTGAAGTGCAACAGTTTCATCCCAAAACCGTCCCCCCTCCCACACACCACCCAGGTTCACAGAAAAACTGTGTTCCATGAAAGCAGCCCCCGGTGCCAAGAAGGCTGGAGACAGCTGACCTCACGGGCAGAAGCCAGGGATGCTGCTAATCATCTTATAGCGCACAGGACAGCCTGCTATGACGAGGAAGAATGATCGGGTTCAAAAATGCTGAAGTGAGGAAACCATTCCATGAAGTCAAGAACCCTATTTTGACTTACAGTCTTCCAGCAGAGCAGCTTGATATGTAGGAAATCATCAATAAATATTTGCCAAATTAATAAATGTATCACTCAAGTCCTTTTTAATTATTATTGGTTTTTTTGGAGACAGAGTCTCGCTGTGTCCCCCAGGCTGGAGTGCAGTGGCACAATCTTGGCTCACTGCCACCTCCGCCTCCTGGGTTCAAGCAATTCTCATGCCTCAGCCTCCAGAGCAGTGGGGATTACAGGCGGGCGACACCACGCCTGGTTAATTTTTTTTTTTTTTTTTTTAGTAGAGACAGGGTTTAGCCATGTTGCCCAGGGTGGTCTCGAACTCCTGAGCCCAAGTGATCTGCCCGCCTCGGCCACCAAAGTGCTAGGATTACAGGCATAAGTCGCCGTGCCCGGTCTCCTTTTTAATTCTTATACTGGCTCCTTCTTACTCCTTGCCTGTCTTGTCATATGTGCAAACCCACCTGAAGCACTGGAAATTGAGGGTTTAAAGTGTAAGCATATCTTTGAAATTCTCCAGTTACTACTAGTATACTGATAGATTCACTGATAAGAAAGCAAAACTATTGGATACATTTAGAGCTTCATGTTAATCATGTTCTCTATGTTACAGAATTATAAATTATAATTACAAAGAAAACTCTCAAGATTCCCCAAAGTGTTTTCTTATAATCTTATCATAACAAGCCTTAAGTTAGTCATTAGATAAGTTTAGAAAATAGCAAATCATATTTGTAAAGACCAGAATAAAACTCTAAGACTCATCCACATCATCCAAAATGAACAGTAAAAGAACCCTTTTATCATAAAGCAATTCCACCTAAAGATCAAAGCATAAGCTTTGGTGGGATATGGGAATCCCCAAAGTATGCATTAAAATGTGAAGGCCTTTCTTTTCTTAAGTATTTAGGCATGGCCAAAGGAAGTAAGAATCTGCTGGTACTGTAGGGGGAAGCTAGGAGAAAAGGGTCAAGCCCAATCAAGGAAGTGACCACAAGAAGTAGTGGCCAGCATGATTGAGAGATTGGTTATATACAGAAGATGAACCATATAAGTCATATATTGTAGATAACTGAACCCCTGTTTCTCACTGGAAGTTACAAATATAAAAAGGATGAAGCTAGAATGGACTCTTTGGTGTGAGATAGAAATTGAAATGTCAATACAAATTCAGTTTTTAATATACAGATGCAGAAATCGTAAGAATAAGTGAGTATGTCATACAATTATTTCCTAATTTTATTTTTAATGAAAGAGCTTGACAACAGTGACACTCAATACAGGGAACACAATTGATACCCAGATTTAGGGTTCTAAATATCATTCTCCACACAAAAAAGAATCAAGAGTCTCTGGAAAACTGCTGATTCCAGGGCTGAAGCAGGGATATCACAAGCGGAGCTGGGACCATCTTACTGTGCCAGAGAGTAAGAAGGTGCTCAGAGAATGATGGGGACATGTTAAAGGGCACAGAAGTTTGAAGGGAATCCCGCTGGCCACATCTGAGACAATCTGGATATCAAAATACATAATACGAAAACACTATGACTCATTTGTTGAATAAAACAAGAATCCATGAGCCCATATTGATAAAAATAAATAATGAATCTATGAATGGAGAGTTTCCTTATAAGAGAATCCCAACTAATGAATGTTGAAGAAACAACAAATTAGAAAGTCACCACTTGACATTCATCTTAGTCACAACTAAGTTAGGCAAGAAACATCAATAAATGCTAAAACTAATGAGTCAAAGAGAAACATAATATTTACATGGTCTCAAATTACCTCCTTAGAAAATAATAACAAAGGACAAAAGAGTACCTCTACAGTGGAGAAAACTAGTAGTCACTACCTTCAGGTGATCAAAGTTAACATCAGTAATAATGGAATAAACCAAAATTGAGTATCAATTCAGAATACAATAAGAACAAAACATCACTTTTGTGACATTGCTGCCAAAAATGTATAACCTACATCTAATCAGGAAGAAACATTAGACAAACTCTAATTATGGGATGCTCTACAAAATAACTGGCATGTAATCTTTAAAAGCATAAAAGCCATAAAAGGAAAGACTATGAAGCCATTCCACATGAAGAGAGTAAAGAGCCCTGACAATCAAATGCACAGATCCTGGGTTAGAATTTTGCAATGAAAGACATTATCGAAAGAATTGGCAAAATCTGAATGGGGTCTGATGATCAGATGGTAGTGATTGATATATCACTATTAATATCTTGCTTTAATAGTTATACTCTTTTTACATAAGAGCATGTCAATGCTACAAAAATGCACCAAAGTAATCAACAGTAAAGGAGCATCTCACTCTCAAATGGTTCATTAGAAAAAGCATTATGTGCTCAGTGCACTGGCTCATGCCTGTAAACCCAGCACTTTGGGAGGCTGAGGCGGGTGGATCACCTGAGGTCAGGACTTCAAGACCAGCCTGGCCAACATGGTGAAACCCCATCTCTACTAAAAATACAAAAATTAGCTGGGCGTGGTATCAGGTGCCTGTAATCCCTGCTACTCAGGAGGCTGAGACAGGAGAATCGCTTGAACCCGGGAGGCGGAGGCTGCAGTGAGCCAAGATCGTGCCACTGCACTCCAGCCCAGGCAGCAAAGAGCGAAACTCCATCTCAGAAAAAAAGATAAAGAAGAAAAAGCATTATTCTTACAACTTTTCTTTAAGTTTGAAATTATTTCAAAATAAAAATAAATGCAATGTCAAAGTTCTTACACTTGCAGTCTCTACTTACTTTTTGATACAGATTTATCTAATTAATACTTTTTTTTTTTTCATATGGAATCTTGCTCTTTCACCCAGGCTGAAGTATAGTGGCGCAATCTCGGCTCACTGCAACCTCCGCCTCTCAGGTTCAAGCGATTCTGGTGCTTCAGCCTCCCGAGTAGCTGGGACTACAGGTACACGCCACCACATCCAGCTAATTTTTTTGTATTTTCAGTAGAGACGGAGTTTCGCCATGTTGGCCAGACTGTTTTCTAACTCCTGACCTCAGGTGATCCACCCGCCTCGGCCTCCCAAAGTGCTGGGATCACGGGCATGAGCCACCACACCCAGCTATCTAATTAACACTTAAAGCTCTTAAATAGGTTATGGTAATAAATTTCATGCATTTGTTATTCACTTGACAAATATTAAGTGCCAGACTCTCTGACAGGCACTGGGAGGATGGTAGACAAAAATCACTGCTTTCACGGAGTTTATATTTCCATGGGGGAGAAAAAAGGTTATATAGTACGAAAAATGCTAGGAGAAAAATATAGCAAAGGAGGGAATATAATACTTTGGGGAAGACTAAAGTAACCAAGGGAAGTCTCATTGAGACGGCAACTTTTAAGGAAAATTAAAACGATGTGAGGAAGCTCGATATAGATACCTGTGGGAAAGAGTTTTCTTGACATAGGGAATAGCAAGGCTTTAAGATGGAAAATGCCTGACATGTTCCAGGAAGACAAAAAAGCTGCAATAAGAGCATGAAGCAGGAAGTAGCAGAAACTGAGATCAGAGAGGTAATGAGGAGCCAGATCATCTAGAGCAGCAGTCCCCAACCTTTCTGGCACCAGGGACCAGTTTCATGGAAGACAATTTTTCCATAGACCTTGGAAGAGGTAGGGGGAGAAGGTGTCGGGCTGAAACTGTTCCACTCAGATCATCAGGCATTAGATTTCATTAGATTCATTAGTTAGAGTTAGTAAGGAGCGTGCAACCTAGATCCCTCGCATGCAGAGTTCACAATAGGGTTCGCACTCCTATGAGAATCTAACCTCGCATCTGATCTGACAGGAGGCGGAGCTTAGGTGGTAATGCTCGCTCACCTCTTGCTGTGTGTCCCAGGTCCTAACAGGTCAGGGACCAGTACTTGTCCACAGGCTGGGGGTTGGGGACACCTCATCTAGAGTCCTATAGATTCCTGAAAGGACTTTCGGCTTTTACTGATATGGGACGCTACAGGAGGTTTCTGAGCAGAAGAGCCAAATCATTCTGACTTAAGTTAAGTAGGATCAGTGGGGCTGCTCCCTGAAAAACAGAATAAAGGGAGGTGGCTCATGCCTGTAATCCCAGCACTTTGGGAGGCCAAGGCAGGAGGATCACTTGGGTCCAGGAGTTCAAGACCAGCCTGGGCAAAATGCCAAAACCTCGTCTCTATAAAAAACTACAAAAATTAGCTGGGCGTGGTGGTGTGCACCAGTAGTCCCAGATACTCAGGAAACTGAGGTGGGAGGAGAGCTTGAGCCCAGGAGGTCGAGGCTGCAGTGAGCTATGATCGGACCACTGCACTGCACTCCAGCCTGAGCAACAGAGTAAAACCCTGTCTCACCAAAAAATAAAATTAAATTAAATTAAATTAAATTAAAAATAAAATAAAATAATACAAGGACAAATTTGATGAGAGAATGTCCATCAAATTTAACTTTTTCATGACAGCCAGTCCTATATCATAAAGTACAATAAAAACTTAGGTGAAAGCTAAATTACTAAATCATATTTTATGCTATACCTTCCCAAAATAACATGATGGGTAATGAATAATATTATGAATTAAAAAGAAAAAAAAAATAAAAATTCAAGGTCTTGTTCCAACATCCAGATTTCTTTTTAAAATGAACTTATTTCTTACATTATTAAAGCAATCTGAAGGTCACATCTTAGTGTAAGTTTAAGAAATGTACTTAAATGAGAACAGTTATTTAATCTTATAACAACTGTAGTAAATGCTTCACAAACCTAGGAAAGAAGAAGGAAAAAGAGGAGATGGTAATACGAAAATCACAAGGCAGGAGAAATTAAAATTAAGAAGGATAAAAGGAAGGTTCTGCTTCTGTAAATATCAGATTGAATAATTCAGATGAATACTCCACTGAGAACAATTTAAAAT